>NC_000001.11:232850788-233002303 GCF_000001405.40 Homo sapiens | reverse complement strand
GTTGAAGTTGCTTAATCTTTCCTCTTAAGCCTCACTCTTCCGCCTCTTCCTCTCATCATTAAAAAAAATGGTGGGATTGGGAAATGCATGTTCTCTGAGAACCTAAATGACCCATTTGACATTTAATTTAGTTTTATTTCCTCTCTCCATATTGTGGTTGAATCCAATGACATAGCCCCAGAATGATACATAGAAATGCAAAGAAGAAGAAGAAAGTCTCCTGCATTACTCCACGGTTAGCATCATCGTCTCTGGGGAGCTGGTCGTCTCTGGGGTTTCATTGGGGTAGATGAAACTGTGTTTTAGCACTCTAACTTTGAGTGGACACGTGAGGCCAGTTCTGACCTGGAATCCTAGTGTCACATCCAGTGATTAAGTACTTTGGTGGCTCCTAAAATGACTGAAGACAACGCCCACGCCATGACACTAGCACTTATGAGGGCCCAAACATGGGCTGTAGGGGTAGGCACTAGGTGCACTGGGATGAGTCCTGTTATCTTCATTTTCTTGCTATATCAGCCTAAATGTTAAGATAATTCTTAGACAAATGGGAGACTCAAACTTTGCTCACAATGACAGGATTCTGAAATTTGTTCCATAGTAATAGGACTTTGTTTTGCAGCCTGGATTCTTTCCTGTATGGCCTCCATGTCCTCTTCAAAGGTGACTTCAGAATAACAGCACGTGACGAGTGGGTATTTGCTGACATGGACCTACTGCATAAAGTTGTAGCTCCAGCTATCAGGATGTCCCTGAAACTTCACCAGGTAAAAACCTATTTTATTTATTTATTTATTTATTTATTTATTTATTTATTTATTTATGAGATGGAGTTTCGCTCTTGTTGCCCAGGCTGGGGTGCAATGGCACAATCTCGGCTCACCACAACCTCCACCTCCCGGGTTCAAGCGATTCTCCTGCCACAGCCTCCCAAGTAGCTGGGATTACAGGCATGTGCCACCATGCCCAGCTAATTTTGTATTTGTAGTAGAAATGGGGTTTCTCCATGTTGGTCAGGCTGATCTCGAACTCCCGACCTTAAGTGATCTGCCCGCCTTAGCCTCCCAAAGTGCTGGGATTACAGGCGTGAGCCACTGCACCTGGCCAAACCTATTTTTTTAGAAAAAACTATCGCTCAGCTACTCGGGAGGTTAAGGTGGGAGGATAGCTTGAGCCCGGGAGTTTCAGGCTGCAGTGATCTATGATTGCGCCACTGCACTCCAGCCTGGGTGACAGTGCAAGACCCTGTCTCTTGGGGAAAAAAAAAGAAAAAGGATCAGCCTGAAACTTTAGGGGAAAAAATGGCCTTTAAAAATATGGTCTCCTTTCTCTGCACAGCACTGTAAGTGGGTTTATTACTTAGGTAACTAAGCATTGAAGCCGTCCAGATAGTCTTGACTTTAGCCAATGGTGATTTGCCCTCAAGAGCAGCTAGGCTAGGAGGTGGTGATATTCCACTAGAAGAAAGATGGGTATTGTGCAGAGACAATGACTTAGCAAAAGTGCCCAACCTATATCTAAAACTATATCTAAAGGTCAGAGGAACCTAAGCCATGAAGCTCTTTTCTAGGCACATTCCATTGGTTAGGGCAATGAGATAAAGAGGTGTCCTCTGTGCCGAGCTCAGGATTTGGAAAAAGAACAGGAGAGAGGAAGATGAGGAAAGAGCTTAGCTTTGGAGGTCACTGGCCAGTTGCCATCTGCATGCTTCCTGGGGGTGAGTTCCTCTGGTCCTTGCCCAGCCCACACCCACACTTCTTCCCACCAGGACCAGTTCACTTGCCCTGACGAGTATGAAGACCCAGCAGTCCTCTACGAGGCCATCCAGTCCTTCGAGAAGAAGGTGGTCATCTGCCACGAGGGCGACCCGGCCTGGCGGGGCGCAGTGCTGTCCAACAAGGAAGAGCTGCTCACCCTGCGGCACGTGGTGGACGAGGGTGCCGACGAGTACAAGGTCATCATGCTCCACAGAAGCTTCCTGAGCTTCAAGGTGATCAAGGTATGGCGGCCACACTTTCTGGGTCCCCTGTTGGCTCGTGTCTCTCTATCTGAGAAGAAATAGAATGGTGGTGGGCAGGGGGGCACTGACACAGGAGTCTCTGTGCCAGCATCCTCTGTTCAGAGGGATGTTCTGGAAGGAGCGCTGGCTGGCAAGTGGGGCAGGGCATGGTGCCAGGCTGGGTGCTGTGTTCCCCTGGCAGGATCACCCTCCACCTCACAGAGCCAGCACACAGACACAGACTTTGCCAAGAAGACCCAGTAGACACACATGTAAGTGAGAGTCAGGATATAGCTTATTTGTAAAGACTTTTTATTCTCTAGAACCCACACCTTTCTCTCATAAACCATTCCTGGATCCGAAGGCCTTATTCCCAATGGCTCCTCTTTTCATATAGCTTCAAATCACTAAGTGAAAACAAAAACTACTTTCTCTGCATTCTCTCTCAGTTTCCCCATGAAGATGGCATCATATCCGTCTTGCAGGATGGCTCTTCTGGCTTAACTGTGAAAAGAGCTTTACACCAAAGTTTTGTAGTCACAGATATTCAGTCCCAGAGCCCTGCTCTCTCATTGTAGTTAAAAACCAATAGATTGGCCGAGGCGTGTGGATCACCTGAGGTCAAGAGTTCGAGACCAGCCTGACCAACACGGAGAAACCCCGTCTCTACTAAAAAATACAAAATTAGCCAGGTGTGTTGGCACATGCCTGTAATTCCAGCTACTCGGGAGGCTGAGGCAAGAGAATTGCTTGAATCCGGGAGGCGGAGGTTGCAGTGAGCTGAGATTGCACCATTGCACTCCAGCCTGGGCAACAAGAGCGAAACTCTATCTCAAAAAAAAAAAAAAAAAAGAAAAAGAAAAAACCAATAGACTGGAAAACACAGGCCTTCTGCCTTTCTTCCCGTTCCCTCTCTGACCTGCAGGTTAACAAAGAATGCGTCCGAGGACTTTGGGCCGGGCAGCAGCAGGAGCTTATATTTCTTCGCAACCGCAATCCGGAGCGCGGCAGTATCCAGAACAATAAGCAGGTCCTGCGGAACTTGATTAACTCCTCCTGCGATCAGCCCCTGGGGTACCCCATGTATGTCTCCCCACTAACCACATCCTACCTAGGGACACACAGGCAGCTGAAGAACATCTGGGGTGGACCCATCACTTTGGACAGAATTAGGACCTGGTTCTGGACCAAGTGGGTAAGGTAAGTTTTTACAACAAATGCCTCTGTCCAGATGCTGGGGGAAGGTGTGGGGGATGCAGGGAGCTCTGTACTCCTGGTTCAGATTTCACTGTCAGCCACCATTTTCTCATATGATTAAAACTGCTACCCCCAAGTGGCATCGAACAGATCATTTGTTTCAGCAAGCAGTCTCAGATTATGAATCCATGGAAAATCTCATATGGATGAGAATCTCTTTCCCCCACATTTGCACAGGCTGAGTTCTTGCAGAGCTGCCAAGGTTATGAGTCTTTAGCAGTAACCATTCCACATCTGTTAGCAAGAACTGGAAGAACATCCCCAGCACACATTTCTCATCCAATAAGTCTTCTTACCTGGATGTAGTAATCAGTTGGGATGAATTCTAAGAAGTTTTGCCTGAAGACGACAGAGCTCCCTATCAAGCCTCAGTGCTAAGGGTTCTTATGGAAGGTTGAGACGGAAGCCCATTCATCCTGGTGCAGTCTGTTCATTTATTAGATGCTGAGGTTTGGGAACAACAGCCCCTCTTCCCACCAGCATGCCAGGTGGGCTACTCACCTGGAGAGCACGCTCTTCGATCCCGATTTAGGCAAGGCCATGGTGGTGCATTTAGGGGGATTGGAAGTGTGTTGCTGAGAATCCTCAAAGGACTTCTCCCTCCCACAGGATGCGGAAGGATTGCAATGCCCGCCAGCACAGTGGCGGCAACATTGAAGACGTGGACGGAGGAGGGGCCCCGACGACAGGTGGCAACAATGCCCCGAGTGGTGGCAGCCAGGAGAGCAGCGCAGAACAGCCCAGAAAAGGCGGTGCTCAGCACGGGGTGTCATCCTGTGAAGGGACACAGAGAACAGGTGGGTGCAGCAGGGGCCTCCAAACTATCGATGAAGTCCTATTTGGTCCCAGTGACCAATGCCCTGAGTTATGATGTTGTTTAAACCTCTGAGAGCACCTTCTTGCATTGGGACAATAGATGCCGGAAATTTGCAGACTCTTGTAGGTTCTGCTCAGGAAAACAATTCTCCATCTGTTAGATTCAGCTTTTACCATTTATCCATCTGTCCATGACCTTGGCCAGCCATTCATCTGTCTGTCCACCTGTCCAGGGGTCGCTGCATTCCATTCCATCTTTCCGTCTCTCACTCTATGACCGTTTGATGGTGTGCCTTCTGTGTCTGGCTGTGTTGTAGCTATTGGCCCATGTACTGTCTCCCTCTTCTCCAAGTGTCCGTGGGGCACACAAACAGGCCTCCTGCCTTCCCTCTCCTGCTTCTCACTGATTCTCACCTTCCTCCACTTAGACTTGACATTTCAGAGCAGAAGAAAAGAGGGCAGAAAGGGTGCCCACAGATAGGAACCTAGGAGGTGGCTGCAACCAAGCCTGGCTGAGTCTAAAGTTTAAAATTATGTTTAAACTAACACCCAAATAGTTATACTCCACCAGATGGATGAAGTTCCAAAACTCCACTGGTGGTCTGCACTGGGGAGGAGGTGGTTGGACTAGAAAAGGAGATCCAGAGGATGAGTGTCCTGGGAACATGAAAGAGATGGATGCTCTGCCCTGGTTCCTGCTGGTCCTTGGCTTTACCCTCTGGAGCATGTTAGTGGTTTTACTTTTTGGCCTCAGTTCTTCCTCACCATCCAGAAGCGTTTAATAAGTGCCTCTGTGCATGCTTCTCCTGCTAGCTCTGCACCAAATGAGCCAGGAGTTACAGTCCCTGCCTCCTGGGAGTGCCCAGAGCAAGGCAGAGGATTGAACAGAGACAGTAGGATGTATGCAAACATGAGCAAGATATGAGAGAGAGAAAGAGAGGATATATGTATAAATCAAAAAGTATCTGAGACAGCTGTCAATTAATTTAGAGGTTTATTTTGCCAAGGTTAAAGAGGTGCCCAGGAAAAAAGGACACAAGCGACAGACCCAACTGTGGCTACTTTTTCCAAAGAGGGTTTGGGGACTTCATTATTTAAAGGGGAAAGAATGGGCAATAGGGGAAAAAGGCGGGGCAGGGGATAAGGAAAAGGGGTATTTTGCAACCACTGTGACCAGCCTTTGAGGCTTTCATCAACCTTCACTGAATCCACATTTTACATGTAAAAAGCGTAGGTAGAGAAACAGTCAATTGTACATTCATGTCCAGCTCCGCAGATCTGCATTTTTACATAAAGTAAACATAGAGTTGAAGAAGGAGTCATGTGTGCCTTTGTCTCAGGTGAGCAGATGGAGGACTCCTAGTCCTATCTTTGTCCCGCATTTGTAAAGGTAAGCTGTTCATTTACATTGTCAGGGTGAAATTTAACAGAACTGTTTTAGAGTAAAGATCTTGGGGCCCACAAGGAATTTCTCTGCAAGCAAATTGGGAGGGAGACAGTTTTGCATGTCTCAGTTCCCAGGCTTGACTTTTTCCTTTGGCATATGAGTTTGGGGAGATTTTATTTTCCTTCCACAGATGCTAGATAGGTAGATAGGGACTGATTGATAGAGGACAGAAAGAAAGCTAGGTAGGTAGATAGATAGGTAAATAGACAAAATAGGTGGTATCCGCTGCTCAAAAGAAAGGAAAAAAGATCTCCCCCTGCCCCACCCACCCCATGCTGTTTACTCTGAGGCCCTGCAGGACACCTGCTGGAGGCCTCCCATGCAGCTCCCAGGCCTCCAGTATCTCATTGTTTAGTTAACATTTCTTATCACATGAAAAATGTGTTTCAGGATCATGGGAGTGACTTTCCAGGTGGGGAAATGCAAAGTAGCTTCCAAATGGTGAAATGCCTAAGCATCTGTCATTTGCCAGTACTTCCAGGTGACTTGTGTGGACTGGAGAAAGTCCAGAGTCAGGGGGGTGTGGCTGCGGGGTGGGCAGGGTCAGAGACAGGGGTCAGAGGTGGGGGTTCCAGAAGTGCTTCAGACCTGGTTTCTTGAAGCTTGGCAGAAAAGAAATTGGAGGCCGGGTGCTGTGGTGCACACCTATAATCCCAGCACTTTGGGAGGCTGAGGTGGGAGGATCACTTGAGGTCAGGAGTTCAAGACCAGCCTGGCCAACATGGTGAAACCCCATCTCTACTAAAAATACAACAAAAAATTAGCCAGGTGTGGTGGTGGGTGCTTGTAATCCCAGTTACTTGGGAGGCTGAGGCAGGAGAATCCCTTGAACCCAGGAGGCGGAGGTAGCAGTGAGCCGAGATCACGCCACAGCACTCCAGCCTGGGTGGGGGGAGAGGAGGGGGAAGAAATTGGAAACACCTTCTTCCCTTTCTTCCTATAAAACAGCACCTGGAACTGGCCTTGCCTGGAAGAGCTGGTGTTCCTTCCACTCCCTGGAGTCCGAACACCATAGGCAGTGAGCATTCCTTGCATTTACAGGAGCAATCACAGCTTCCCGTTTGTGGAAGATGTCAGAGCAGGATCTTTTTTTTTAAATTGGATTTTTAAGTTAAAATTTAATAATCAAACTATACAATCAGCATAGTTTAAAACTCAAAAAGGACTGCCTGGATTAAAACAAAAATCATGGGTTTCCCCCCTTCACCCCCCAGCAACATTCCTAATTCTCAGAGGTTACTGCTTCCAACTCTTGCAGCTGCTTTGTATTTTTGGGGCATCTACCTCCACATATTTAAATGACACGCTTACTCTGGAGCAGGATCTACTAAAGCCTAAACCAGCTGTTAATTTCTCATGAATGCTTCTTAAAACTTCCTGCCAAGGCCACCGCTGGCTTTCTACATTTTACAAGCAAAGGAGCATGCCTGGCTAAATACCCCACACACCACATGCCTTGGCCACACCTGCAGCCTGAGTTTGTCCCAGGCTCTGAGACCAGTTGTTGTCCTGCTTAGGGGGATGGAGGGTTGGGGAGATTTATGAAGCCCTGGGCCAAGCATCAGCTGCTTTGAACTCACCTGCCTTGCTGCCACCCTGCTCTTTCTCTGCCCCCCGGTGTATTCACAGCATCCTTGCTGCAGGTGATAAAATTTGATAACAGTAACAGTTCTCAGGTTCTACTCTACCAACACCATCCTGAGTACTTTCATGTGCACATTCACTGGATCCTCACCATGGCTTTTAGAGATGCAGGCAGTTTCACCCTCCTCATCTTGCAGATAAAGAAACTGAATGTATTAGTCTGTTTTCACACTGCTACAAAGGTACTACCTGAGACTGTGTAATTTACAAAGGAAGGAGGTTTAATTGACTCACAGTTCTGCATGGCTGGGGGGACCTCAAGAAACTTACAATTATGGTGGAACGTGAAGGGGAAGAAAGACACATCTTACATGGTGGCAGGAGAGAGCAAGAGTGAGGAAGTGCCACACTTTAAAACCACCAGCTCTCATGAGAACTCACTCACTATCACAAAAACAGCCTGGGGGAAACCACCCCCATGATCCAATCACCTCCCACCAGGTCCCTCCCTCAACACATGGGGATTTTTTTTGGGTGGGGATACAGAGCTCAACCATATTATTATGCCCCTAGTCCCTCCTAAATCTCATGCCCTTTCACATTTCAAAACCAATCATGCTTCCCAACCATCCCCCAAAGTCTTAACTCATTCCAACATTAACTCAAAAGTCCAAATCCAAAGTCTCATCTGAGACAAGACAAGACCCTTCCACCTATGAGCCTGTAAAATCAAAAACAAGTTAGTTACTTCAAAGATACAATGGGGGAACAAGCATTGGGTAAATGTCCCCATTCCAAATGGAAGGAATTAGCCAAAACAAAGGGGCCACAGGCCCCATGCAAGTCCAACACCCAGCTGGTCAGTCATTAAATCTTAAAGCTCCAAAATCTCCTTCAATGCCATGTCTCATGTCCAGGTCACACTGGTGCAAGAGGTGGGCTTCCAATGCCTTGGGCAGCTCTGCATGGGTACAGTCCCTGCAGCTGTTTTCATGGGCTGGTGTTGAGTGTTTGCAGCTTTTCCAGGTGCACAGTGCAAGCTGTTAGTGTATCTACCTTTCTGGGATCTGGAGGATGGTGGCCCTCTTCTCATAGCTCCACTAGGCAGTACCCCAGTGGGACTCTGGGGGCTCCAACCCCACATTTCCCTTCTGCACTGCCCTAGCAGAGGTTCTCCATGAGAACTCCGCCCCTGCAGCAGACTTTTGCCTGAACATCAGGCATTTCCATACCTCCTCTGAAATCTAAGCAGAGGTTCCCAAAGTTCCACTCTTGTCTTCTGCACACTCTTAGGCCCAACACCACATGGAAGCAGCAAAGGCTTGGAGTTTGCACCCTCTGAAGCAATGGCCCAAGCTGTACTTTGGCCCCTTTTAGCCACATTGGAGTTGGAGTGGTTGGGATGCAGGGCACCAAATCCAGAGGCTGCACAGAATAGTGGGGTCCGTGGCCCAGCCCATGAAACCATTTTTCCCTCCTAGGCCTCCAGGCCTGTGATGGGAGGGGCTTCCGTGAAGATCTCTGAAATGCCCTGGAGACATTTTCCCCATTGTCTTGGCTACTAACATTCTGCTCCTTGTTACTTATGCAAATTTCTGCAGCGAGCTTGAATTCCTCCCCAGAAAATGGGCTTTTCTTTTCTACTCCATCGTCAGGCTGCAAATTTTCCAAACCTTTATACTCTGCTTCCTTTTTAAACATAAGTTGTACTTCCAAACCATCTCTTCATGAACAAATATGACTGAACACTTTCAGAATAAGCCAGGTCACCTTGTGAATGCTTTGCTGCTTAGACATTTCTTCCAACAGATACCCTAAATCATCTCTCTCAAGTTCGAAGTTCCACAGATCTCTAGGATGGGATAAAATGCCGCCAGTCTCTTTGTTAAAGCACAGCAAGAGTGATCTTTGTTCTAGTTCCCAAAAAGTTTCTCATCTTCATCTGAGACCTCCTCAGCCTGGACTTTATTGTCCATATTACTATCAGCATTTTGGTCAAAACCATTCGGCAAGTCTCTAGGAAGTTCCAAACTTTCACTCATCTGCCTGTCTTCTTCTGAGCCCTCCAAACTGTTCCAATCTCTGCCTATTACCCAGTTCCAAAGTTGCTTCCACATTTTCAGGTATCTTTATAGTAATACCCCACTCTGCTGGTACCAATTCTCCATATTAGTCCATTTTCACACTGCTATAAAGATACAACCTGAGACTGGGTAATTTATAAAGAAAGGTTTAAATGACTCACAGGTCCACATGGCTGGGGAGGCCTCAGGAAACTTACAATCATGGCAGAAGGCGAAGGGGAAGCAAGGTGTGTCTTACATGGCAGCAGGAGAGAGTGAGACCAAGGAGGTGCCACACTTTAATACTATCAGCTCTTGTGAGAACTCACCCACTATCACAAGAACAGCCTGGGGGAACCATGCCCCCATGATCCATTCACTTCCCAGCAGGTCTCTCCCTCAACACATGGGGATTACAATTCAAGATCAAATTTGGGTGGAGACCAGAGGCCTAGAAAACTTAAGTCACTGCCCAGTGTCACCCAGCCAGGCAGTGGCCAGTCTGAGATTCATTCCCAGGTGAGCTGGCCCCAGAACTTGTGATCTCAGCCACCTTGCACCATCCCATTGTCCTGGCCCCAGGGATGCTGCTTCGAATGTCCTTGTCCCCAGCCCTGGGAATGAGTTGATGGAAACAAGCATTACTGAACACTGAGTGTGCCGCCCTTGCCTCCTGCCCTCCATCTGTGCAGCTGGCATGTCTCTGCCCAGCATGACTTTGTCCTGTCCCCTGGCTGGCAAGGGTTCCACTTATAAGTGATCTTCCTTCTGGCCCCACGAGCAGGCAAAGCTGACACCCAGTTCTTTCTGAAGCAGCCAGCAGGGGCTCCTTTACTTTCTCACTGTGGTCAGGGAGGGACAGGAGCAGAGCAAGGGACTGTCTCAAGTACCTTTCTGGCTCAAGGAGCTGACATGCTGAGGAAAGAAGGCACTGCAGCCTAGGAAGCTATGCCAAGGCTTTTATCCCCAGCAGAGGGTCAGAGAGCTGGAAGAAGACAGGGGAGATTGAACAAGGCCTGCTACCCCTTTCCCACTTAAAAGAAGGAAAAACCTCTCTCTTGCTATCATCTCTCTTGCTTTTTCTCCCTGGTCTTTCGTGCAGCTCCGACAACACACAAAATCGTAAATCTCCACAAAGCAAGTCAGAGTGATTTTATTTAAACTTAAATCAGTTCACGTTGTTCTTCTGTTGAATGATGGCTTCAGCTCAGAATGTGTGAGTCTGCTTGGGCTGCCATGACAAAGTACCATGGCTCAGGTGGCTTAAACAGCATGAACCTACTGTCTGCCAGTTCTGGAGGCTGGAAGTCTGAGATCCAGGTGTGGGCAGGCTTGGTTCCTCCTGAGGGCTGGAGGGGAGTGGGGTCCAGGACCCTTCCCTAGCTTGTGGTGGTTCACCGGCCATCTTAGGCATCCCCCGGCCTCGAGAAGCACCACTGAGCTCTGGCTTGGTCTTCACATCATGTTCTCCCTGTACTTCTCTGTGTCCACACGTCCCCTTTTTATAAGGACACTGGTCATCATGGACTCAGGGCCCATCCTACTCCAGTATGACCTCATCTTAACTAATGACATTTGCAACGACCCTGTGTCAAAGTAAGGCCCCACCCTGAGGTCCTGGGGGTTAGGGCTTCAACAGAGGAGTCTGGGGAGGGAACATGATTCAGCCCGGAACACCCACGCGCATCCCATGAGCACCCCTCCCCCGCAGGCCCCCATCTGGTCTGCTCTCTCTCTCACGCCTTCTCTCCCTTCTCTCAGCCCTCTCTTATGAGCCCACATCCCCAGCACACGGTCTCTTGCTGTCCCTCAACAGTGTCAAGCATTCTCCTTTCCAGGGCCCCCTCAGCTGCTGCCTCCTCTGTCCCCAGTGTCCCTCTCCCAGGCTTGCAGCTCCTTCGCTTACTCACACAGCCTCCCATCAAATCCCAGCTTATCCAAGAGACCCTGGCCAGCCTTCCATACAGCACTGCTGTCCCCCTGCCCCACTTTCTCCTCCCCTCCAATCCCTGCCTGATGCATGTGCCTTGTCTGTGGTCAGAATTTCCCATGAGCTGCTCACTGCCCGGCACCTAGGACAGTGCAGCCCACGGTGGACGCTCAGGTGGGCAGCCCTAACTTCTGCAGAGCCTGTGACAGGAGCACATGTGAAGACCACACCACCCTCTTCCCCACTCTCCCCACATCCTGCCAGGTGAGGGGCTGCCTGCATGCACTGGAGCCTCCCCATTCACATGCCCGTCTGGGGGTGCACGTGCCTGCAAGTAGGCCCAAGGTCCGCCCTGGGAGACGACCCTGGGGAAGAGGCCTGTGCAGGCCCCAGTTTGGGGCAGGGAGTTCTGGAGTCCTGGGAACCCAGCACACGGCCAAGCAGGAGTGGGTGGGAGCTGGTTGACGTGCTCCTGTCTCCACAGCTTCCTGGCCCTGTGGGGACAGAGACGGCTGCAGGGGCCACCAAGGGAAACCTCTGAGGTGCTGGGCTGGGTGGTAAGCATGATCTGGGCTCAGCAGACAAAGGTTGGACGAATGAGTGGATGGTTACCCCTCCTGGCCTCAGCCACTTACACTACAGCTTCCCTAGAGGGCGAGGGTGCAAAGCCCTTGGGTCTCAGAGTTGCAGCTGTAGGCAGGTTCTGTCACAGCCAAGAGCAGTGGAGCCAAGAGCTGCCGATCTTGTTGGCTCTCCTGAAATGTACCATCATGACCTTGGTGCCCCAATCCCCCGGCCAGAATCCCTCCAAGATGTGATTCAACTATCCAGAAGGCTCTCTAGCACTGACTGCGACCGGGAGCACAGAGCTTTCATTCCCCTCAAGACACTGCACCTGAGACCCAGTGTGCAGGTAGCCCAGGTTCCAAGGAGAGCAAGCCCAAGAAGGAGGCTACCACAACGGGAGGGGCGGCTCTGCCTGGCCCTGCCCGGGACACTTTGCGGAAACCACCTACCTGCCATTCCCAGCAGGCCATCATTCCCTTCAGGGATGTGAGGATAACTGGATTTGATTTCAGTCTCTGGCCTCCTTCTCACCCTCCTTCTAGTTAAGTAAAACAACCATGCCCGTCCGAGTTGAGACACACAGCTCCCAGAAAGGAAGCCAGAGACCTGCTTGGCCAGTGCAGGGGCGTTAGAGGCCAGTCTCCAGCTATGGGGAGAACATTCCCTGATCCCAGATCTTTGGACTTGACCCTGGAAGTATGGAGGAATCACCTTCCTATTTTCCTAACCTTTAGCTTGCCCTCCAGTCTGCAGTGGCAGCCCCTTGGGCCCATCTACAGGCGCTTGCCTATGGGTCTCAGCCTCTAGTCAAGATATTGATTAATTTTTTGAAATGCTTCTAATGGCCAAGTTTAAGAAACACTGTACCCACCCCGAACTTTCTGAAGCTCACTGGATTTCTAATCAGCGTTTTGGCATCTGGTCAGTTTTGCAGGTTTGTCCTGTGTATCCTTTACTTACATGTTAGTGTACTGGGTGCTGAGCTCATAGAAGTGATACAGGGGTCCTTTGCTGCAGAAAGGGCACATAGTGGAGAGGACCGTGCATCAGACAGTGACAACACAGTGTGCTGAGTGCCATTGGAGAGGTGGTTGGGGGCCTCTCAGAGTGGAGGACCTGCCTCTCTGGGAAGGGCATGACAGAGACCCTTAGCCAAGTAGCAAAGAGTGAGCAGTTTTTTTTTTTTTGAGACGGAGTCTCACTCTTTCACCCAGGCCGGACGGCAGTGGCGCTATCTCGGCTCACTGCAAGCTCCGCCTCCTGGGTTCACGCCATTCTCCTGCCTCAGCCTCCTGAGTAGCTGGGACTACAGGTGCCCGCCACCACGCCTGGCTAATTCTTTGTATTTTTAGTAGAGATGGGGTTTCACCGTGTTAGCCAGGATGGTCTCGATCTCCTGACCTCGTGATCTGCCTGCCTCGGCCTCCCAAAGTGCTGGGATTACAGGCGTGAGCCACCGTGCCCGGCCGAGTGAGCAGTTTTGAAGGGCGAATTTGAAACAAATTCTAACAAGGGTCTTGTTTTACTCACCAAGTCACCAAGACTCAACTCACATAACTGGGGACCCAACTGCCCCCACCCTTCGTTGGTCCTTGCCTCAATTCTGGTCAGGTATCCCAATCCTGAGCCCTTGCTAGAGGCTGAGCGGACTGGGGTCCCTCCTGCCTGAGACCTCACAGACAGAACTCCTCTCCCCAGGCCAGCCACGCTGTGCATCTGCTGCTGCTGGTGCACACAGCACTTTGCACCCAGCTGCCAGGCGCTCACTACGCCAGCCTCATCTAGGTCCTGACAACCTGCAAACGTCTTGCTGGGGTAAAAAGCATATGTCACAGCTGGAAGGGGAGTTGGCCTAGCAGTGGAGGCTGGTGACCTACTTACTGGTGAGCAGTTAGGAATTCATAACTAATCCGAATCCCAGATTGGAGAGGGAGGCTGTGTTCTCATATTACTAAGGAGCTACACCACGATTGTTCAGATAACATCAAAGACAAAGGAATTAAGTGCCACGATAATAAACCAAGGAGGGTGATTTATATGTAAGGTATTTCCATTCAGGTTCTAAAAAGGTTTTCCCTAGAAACATTCATAACTTGGTAATAGAGTTATTTGCAAAATAAGTTAAATTGTAAAATAATGATCTTGAGTAGCACAAATGCATTTAGCATGGTTTGCTTCCTTAGTGCTGTTCCATTTGCAAAATTAATTAAAAAAAAAAAAGAGCAATGAGAAAACCTGAAGCAATGAAATCGGGTGGCGGGGGAGTCCTTGTCTTGCACAGACTACAGCAGGCCACTTCCCTTTGACACACAGTGGGTTATTTGTCCCCTTGTTCCTGGAATTCTCTAGGAAGTTCCCCACCAAGTATGGGTGGTCTTCTATTGAGCATCACAATCACTGACTTGTGGATAAATGTGGAGTATTTTTGGACAGTGATCAGCTTTACGATAGAAATCACAAACACACGTCCGGCCTTGCCAGACACTGAATAAACTAACAAATCGCCCTCCTTATTTTTCATTCTGATTCATCAGGGTCCCTTTCCTCCTCTCCTTTTTCTCTGTAAGAGGAATATATTCAACTACTCAGCCGGGACCTTTCAGGCCGGCCCGAATGCACCCCTCCTGCAGCAGAGGCGGGTGGGCCCCATGCGAGGGGCTGAGCACACTCATCCCAGGGAGGGCAGCCCCGTCCTGCGGAAGCCCCCAGCACTGTGGGGCGAGCGCTCCTTACTGTCAACACACGGGCAGGAGAAAGTGAGATGGGAGCACCAGTGCCCTCTGCAAATGGGCACTCGACCATCACAGCATCCAAACTGGCACTGTGGTCAACAGGAGGCAGAAAGGCCCCTTCAGCCTAGGCCACGGTGGGGTGGGGTGGGGCTGGAAGGAACCCTGGAATCCCCTTCGTAATGTGTATCCCTAAGGAATTGCCTCTCACATGATGTGTCAGTTCTTGGGTTCTCCTGGAGGCAGCCACGCCCGCTTCACAATCACCAGATGCATAATGAATAATGGGCATTTGGGGTGAGGTGGAACACAAGGCAATGCATAGGACGTCCTTTCTGATACTCATGCCTCCGCCCCCTTGTTTGTCTTTATTTAATGCCTAATTGTAGCAGCTGCAGGGATATGCCCATGATGCCGTTCATAGAACCATGATGTCACTAGCTGCTCCCATCAAAATGATATTTTGCAATTAGCCCCTAGTGATCATGGATGCTCAAGTTAAGCAACCCGGTGTTCTAGCCAGCACCCATTTCCTCAGACTGCTTAGACTGCAAAGCTGAACCACAGGCTGCACAGGGCCATCACGCACAGAAGACCCCATGAAGTTATCCTGCTTCCAGCAGCATGGACACAACCACATCTTTGGGGGTAGTCCAGTCCCTTTTGTCAAAAATGGCCTTGTCTAGACAAGTTTCAGCAAAGGCTGGGGTGGCAGGGCCCCTGAGGGGCGAGGCAGTGGGCAAAGGGGCTGGCTGAGAAGAGCATGGGAAGCAAGGCCCAGGCCTGGCCAGTAGTTGCGGGCCTGTAAGGGAAAGCTATTCTGGAAAAGAGGCGAGGGCATGGGCTTTCAGCTCTCCTCCCCTTTCTTCTTTTTTCATGGCAAATAAAAATGACAGAACCCTGCACGTTTTCCTTTATCACTGCTGATCGGATGAGCATGGGAACCAAGGTCCTGAGCCAGGATCATATTTGGGTTTACTTTATGAGCCCAAGTTCTGCTGCTGGCATTGTCCTGGTTCGCCTGAAGTAAGCAGCTTCCAGGCATGTGGGACTTTTCAGTGCTAGAACCAGGAATGTCCTGGCAAACTGAGCAGATCTGTCACCCTGGCTGCAGCTTCTCACACTGTACCCCCAACCCCAGCCCCCACCCTTGGGTGCCCTTCAGTCGGCCCTTTGGTTCTCAGGACCTGGACTTGGCGGGAGGGAGTGGGTGAGGCAGTGGTCAGGCTTCCAGCTCTTGTCCCAGCCTTGCAGGTGGTGCACTGAGGAGGGGTCCTTGGGCCCAGGCAGAGCAGGCCACCTGCTGCACCACACAGGTATCGATGTTCATGACCCACCCGCTACAACTCTGTGTTCTGCTTTCTTTTAAAGGCAGGAGGAAAGGCAGGAGCCAGTCCGTGCAGGCACACTCAGCGCTAAGCCAAAGGCCGCCCATGCTGAGCTCATCTGGCCCCATCTTAGAGAGCCGCCAAACATTCCTCCAGACGTCCACCTCAGTGCACGAGCTGGCCCAGAGGCTCTCGGGCAGCCGGCTCTCCTTGCACGCCTCGGCCACGTCCCTGCACTCTCAGCCCCCGCCCGTCACCACCACCGGCCACCTGAGTGTCCGTGAGCGGGCCGAGGCGCTCATCAGGTCCAGCCTGGGCTCCTCCACCAGCTCCACCCTGAGCTTCCTCTTCGGCAAGAGGAGCTTTTCCAGCGCGCTCGTCATTTCCGGACTCTCTGCTGCGGAGGGGGGCAATACCAGTGACACCCAGTCATCCAGCAGCGTCAACATCGTGATGGGCCCCTCAGCCAGGGCTGCCAGCCAGGCCACTCGGGTAAGGGGCTGGGCAGGGCTCACCAGGACAGGCTGGGATGGTGGCACGGGCTCCTGGCCTGAGCGTGGCACCTGCCTTGCGTTCCCACCCTTCTGCCTGCAGAACCCCATCCCCTTCTCTATGGGGCTCCCAGAGTGACAAAGGACAGTGATTAGACACGAAGTGGCTTAGCTGCTCTTGAAAGCAGACAAGATACAGAGCAGATATCCTGTAAACGATAATGCCCAGGCAGGCACTGAAAGGAGTCACCGGATACAGAGGTTCTGCAGAACTGTGGCCATCTGCCCTACACCGGGGCATGACGGAGAATGCCCTCCACCCATTCACACAGCAGGACTCTTCTCACATGATTCTGGCCTGAGGGAGAGGAAAGGACACCTGTCAATGCTGGAGTTAGAGCTTCACTGCTTCTCAGCCAATCGATTTGACTTTAAAGCTGCTGAGATGGCCCACTGCTTTTAGGTATTTAAATACTAGACAAGGAGAGTTCTAAGGACTTCACCCAAATAAGCTGTTACTTGTCCAGAATCCCAAACCAGCTGAGATGAAATGAATACTTGAGCTTCTTCAGTGAGAAAAAAGTAAATAAATACCCAGCAGTGCTCCTATGTGACCTGGTAGACAGGGAAAATCGATGGTGTCAAGGCAAAAATGGGTCAGGTTTGGAGAGTTCCCCCACTCCTTTTGAGTGTTCAGGTTTTCCTTACCATGGCTCATGCTTTCCATCAAGCACCAGAGTTGCAGTGGCTTGGCCTCTGGTTCTGGGTGAGGTTATTTGCAGGTGGAGACGGGGGGCTGCACCTGAACATTTCTAGTGTCACCCTCCCTCTCCTTCATGGGAAACAGCTCTCCAGGGAAGTACCTTCCTGCCAGGGGAAGCCAAGGCTGGGCCGGCCGCCCTACAAGGAGCCACAGGATTGCAGCCATGGGTGCCACCTTTCATGGAAGGGGAGATTTATGGGCTTTCCTGGAACCCCCAGGCTGTCCTGGCCAAGAGGAAAGAGGTGGTTACTTCAGGAGTTTGACCTTAGTTAGATAACTAAAAGAATACATTTCCCCTCCCTTTTCTTTATTTCCTCAATAAAAATGTACAAAGTATCACCCTTCTCCATGCCCCAATCTGTGTTAAAGTCACAATCTATGGGTGTAGTTCTGGGATTCTGTCAAATTCTCCTTCCTGCTCTCCAAAATGGACAATTGTCGTAGGGACCACATGCCCCCAGAATACAATGGCCTCTGTGTTCTACTGGGGTCAAGCCTGCTAGAACTCAGCATTCATGACAGGGGCTAAGTGTGCATGAAGTGACACTGACTACAGCTAGAAAGCCAGGCGCACAAATGCCCCTTCCCCCCAGGGCCGCTCTTTCCAGCGCAGTCATCCAGAAAGGCCCACGTGCAGAGCCCCTGTGTCTCAGATGCTGCTTCAGTTGCCCGTCCTGTCCTCAGAGGCCACTGTGCTGGCCCTCTATCATTTGACCTGACTTTAGAACCTGACCTCAAGGATATGGCAGCGCTAGCCTTTAGCTCCCACAGCACGGATGGGGGTGATGCCAGTTAGAAGTGGGTAGTGAACGTTTGCTGAGCTGTTCACTGTTTCTCTCTTCTCTTTGGAAGCACCTCTCCGAGCCATGTGAGCCCCCTGATGCCACCGAGCAGGGGCAGCTTCATGACCGATGTCTGGCTGAGGCTGTGGCGGACACTCTCGGGGTTGTCTGCAGGAGAGCAAGCCAGGAGGACATGGGCCTGGACGACACGGCCTCGCAGCAAAGTGTGTCAGACGAGCAGTGACGGGCGTGCGGCCGGGCGGGGAGGCTGGCTCCCCCACACCTCCCACCTGCATTGCTCTCCCTCGTGCTCCCCAAATCACCACAACCAACCAATACCGCGATCCATGAGGGACTCCTCCTGTGGAAAAGGAGAGCTGTTCCAGAACACAGAACTGATCTCAGGTTTTTGAAAAAAAAAAAAAAAAAAAAAAAAAAATCAAACAACAACAACAAAAAAACCTCACATGATGGGGAAACAAAAAAAAGCAACAAAGAAGCCACACCACACCTCCCTGGCCAGGCACAGCGCTGCCCAGAGCGGCACACCGCGGACAGCACCACACATGTTCCAGAATCTGAAATCTCAAAAGCCATTCACTAACTTAAAACAACTCAACAGAGCCATGAAACAAATGCCCTGATGAAAATAAGACAACTGCATGTTACATCATCGGCACTTTATACATTACTGTTACCATGAAAAAGAAATGAACAGCAGCACGTCTGATACCATCAGCTGGGCAGATGCATTAAGGTTAAATCTAAGTGTCAAGAAAACCCTATTTCTTTATAATATTTATGCAGCTGTTAAGCGTAACATGGTGGCAGCTTCACAACAAGAACCGTGATCATGCATGCAGTCATGTCTCCAGTATTCTGTGAAAAGCCAGGATACGTTAGGATGTGAGTTTAGAAACTGAGTCCATTCGGTGCATGGAAATCCACCGCGGAGTCACACAATGCTCCTCACTGTAGTCCAGGCGATTGGTGGGCCGCCAGCACCCTGCGGGCTTCACAGGGACGCGTGCTTGTTCTCCAAGCCCCGCAACCCTTACTGTGCACACAACATCGCACACACCTTTGTTTTTGAAATTAAAATGTTTATAGTTATTGCTGCGTCCAGTGTTTTGAGTTATACTGAAGCTTCTCATTTCTACAAGTATATCTTTTATGGTGAGAACGACATTTGGGTAAATTCTGAGACAACTTTTCCCATCTTCAAGACCCCAGGAACCTGTATCCTTGCTGGGGTAGAGGTCCCAAAATGCAGTCCATAGAGTATCACTGGCCTGGTGAACCATCCCTTTTCAAAAGACAATAGTTAGAAGGAAATACTCAATTTTAAACAGTCACACAAATTTCTTCAAAGTATTTAGGATTTGGAAATTTGAGGAGAGGGTTGGGGGAAGGGTATTGTAGAGAATCTCTTGCCCCTTGGAAAGTAAATGGTAATGCTTTTCTAATTTTTTTTTTTGTAAACTAAGAATCAGCAATTAATAAAAGCAAGTGTACTCTATAATCACAGACAGAAGGTTCTTATTTTCAGGTCAGCACTCCCTAGAGGTGCAAACTTTATTTAATTTAAATGCAGTTGTTTGTCTAATGGGAAGCTGATAGGGCCTTGCTGCAGTTCTCTAAGGTGGCCAAATTAAACTTGGCTGGCAGCTCCTGTAATCCTCTTGGGCAACTTTACAGCCAAGCCCCAAGGGCTAAATGGCAGGCCTGGAGCTGTGAGTGTGGCCTCCCCACGGAGGGTGACTCCTTGAGTTCAGTGAGGAAAACCACGGTGCCTGGCAGTGGTCAGCCAGGAGTATGACTGGCCACTCCTTAGGCATCCAGAAGTAGGAAACACAGAAAGCATTCCACAAAACGGGGAATCTCCCCAAAGAGCTAGAAACCCAGGCTGGAAGGAAATGGCAGCGCAGGCAAGAGAGCAAGAGCACCCTGGGTGCTCCTCCATCCCGTTTCTCTGGGGAGGTTCATGAGGTGCTTCTTCAACAGTTATTCTGTTCATTGCTTATCACAGTTCACGAGTTCTCGTGGCATCTTTTGTGGGGAGGAGGGAGGATGAAAGTGACACAGTGTATCTACAACACTAAGGTCACATTAATCAGATAGGAATGCAGTGACGCTCTGCACCGTCTATGAGAGCGGGCATCTCGAGTGTGCATACCGAGGCACAGATGTGCACACACATCCGCAGGCAACTGCACCCACAGAGAAAAGGTGGCAGTATTGGAGTCACCCCAGGATTCTTGGGGGCTGTTTGACCAGCCATCAACAGTGCAGCCATACTTCTTTTTCTTTTTTATCGTGGTACACAACTTTTATATTTACAACTC
Source organism: Homo sapiens (assembly GCF_000001405.40). NCBI lineage: Eukaryota > Metazoa > Chordata > Mammalia > Primates > Hominidae > Homo > Homo sapiens. The sequence goes on along the minus strand of NC_000001.11, from coordinate 232,982,202 downwards.
ATGAACTTGTTAATCTGGTCCTTCATCTAGTCAGCTATGTATCAGAAAGGACTTCCTGCAAAATGTTATATTCTAAGCCCCCATTTAGAGGAGGCATCCCTAAACTGACATTTCTTGCTAGAGTTGTTCAAATATTCTGCCAGTATATAGCTAAAGAGTTATTTTCCAGTTCAAGAGTTATTTGGGGGCTGGGCACGGTGGCTCACGCCTGTAATCCCAGCACTTTTGTAGGCTGAGGCAGGCAAATCATGAGGTCAGGAGTTCGAGACCAGCTTGGCCAACATGGTGAAACCCCGTCTCTACTAAAAATACAAAAAATTAGCTGGGCGTGGTGGCGGGTGCCTGTAATCCCAGCTACTCAGGAGGTTGAGGCAGGAGAATCGCTTGAACCCAGGAGGCGGAGGTTACAGTGAGCCGAGATAGCACCACTGCACTCCAGCTCAAGCGACAGAGTGAGACTCTGTCTCAAAAAAAAAAAAAAAAAAAAGAGTTATTTGGACACAGATCAAAATGGTTTCTCCTCTAAAGATAATATTAAAACCATAGCACTTGGTTTTATATAAATCATGTGGCCAATTTGGCATTATTGATTCTAAATTTTGCAGTGTGTTGAAATCATCTGGCAAGTAATTTGTTAAAATCATGCGATGCTTCAACTTCTTTGCCCACAAAATGTGCAATGCAATGCCTGTTTACTTAGCCCACCCGTCTCCAGCCTCATCTACCATGCTGTTTTGTCCCAAGTCACTATGCTACACAAGCATCCGCCATCAGCACACACACAGGTGTGATCCACAGACACAACCTTCTATGAATACGGTAATTGGCAGGAAAAGAAGAGGAGCAGGTCTGTTCCACATTTTCCAGCCCACCAGCGTTCCCACCCCCTTGATAACTGGAGGGCTGGGAACTGAGTGCCTGAATTTGCAGCTTTACTAGGATCTCTCCCTGTCAAGGCTGATCATCAGAGATGACACTATCCATTTAAAAGACTCACCCATCTCCCTGCATGTGCTTACCCTCACTGAGAGGTAAGAAGAAACAATTTATTAAACTATTACGTGTTAAGCAGCTGGCGGTATGATCTGCTAAGGAGGAAAAGGAAAGAATGATTTAGTAAATCGTGCTTCAAATCAGTCCTGATTCCTCCCATCCGACCTTGTTATTCTAGCTGAGATTCTTCATATAAGCAATACATGTTAATTCTGTGCTTTTCAAATTGAATTCCTCCCTGAGACTCATATCCAACCATCTGTTAGATATTTTGCTTTGTTTGAATAGGAGGCATTCCAAACTCAGGTATAAGAGAATCCCTGACTTCAATCTGCCCTGCTGCCCCCACCCCACCATCCGGCAAGAGCTCCTCACCTCAGCCGTGGCACCGACAGGGAGGTGGCGCTCAGCTCTGCTCCTCTCATCCTGGCTGCGTGCAGGGAGGGGACGGTCACGTGGAGTTCTGCCACGGCACCTCTTCTTCCTTTAAATCTCAGCATGACACTGTTGCTACAGGCTGTGTGCGTTTGGCCCTGAGTTCTAGTTATCTGTGAATTCATCTTATCCTTCATTAAATGTCATTGCCTTACAATACAGGGATTGCATCTGACATCTCCATACATGCTCCATGATCATTCTGTTTGACTAATACAACAATCATTTCAGGACCTCACCACAAGAGACACTAAACGTTCTTTGGATTTACAGCAGTTTATCACTGCTAAATGTCAACTCTGAGGTCTGGGGGCACAAAACACACTAAAAATGCTAAAGCCTCAAGAAGGACGCAGCAGGGAGTGATGAAAGAGTGAACTTTGGAGCCACGCAGACGTGGGTTCAAATCTCCTTTGTCACCGCTATCACTGTGCTCCTGAACGAACCACTTAAACACTCCAAGCTTGTCTCTTTACCGTTAAAGGGAAAGTGTGCAGAAGCTCCCGCAGCCCCAAGTGCTAGGGGCCACCCTGAATCTGTTCCACACAAGTGCATACTTTCAAGTAGGCAGTGACACTCCCACCCCACATAAGCACAACTGGCTTCAGTGATAAGCCCCTCAGACTAGCTATTTAACTTTGAAATAACCTTCACCAGCTTTCTTTCTCATTTAAGACAAAATCAAAGTCTACAAAACAGACACGGCTGAAACACCAAGCTCAAAAGGACAAGCACCAGAAGGAACATGGCCCTTGGTGTTTCAGATGCATGAAGGGCGGAAACGCAAAACGGCCTCCCGGAGGTGCCAGGAAAGGCTCCATCTTGATGGGGTCCCACTCCAGCTGGGGCTGACCAGCTCCACCACGCCTGGGTGCACATTGATGACATTTCCCCAGCCTGCCTCCCTATCTCTTGGTTCTCCTGAGGGCTGTGGTACTTTCAGATTTACGGCCAGGATCAGGTTCCCAGGCCTTTGTGGGAAGCCTCTACCCAACTCAGAGGCCGTGCCTCTCCTGGCCCACTGAGGCATGCAGCCCACACCGGTGTCCTGGTGATGGTGGCTGGAAGTCACAGCCAGCCTGCCAGACATCCTGAGCTCGGAACTCAGTCTCCCTGAACAGCCCCGCCAGGCAGGGACTGTGGAAGGAGATGCCCACTTCCTCCTCCTGGGCAGGTAGCCCTTTTGAGGGCTTAGTTCATAATCTATTAGGCCTCCCTGTTGTGGTCCCTCCAAGGCTAGGCAAGTCCAAGTCAAGCTTCACAAAGTTACCTCGGAAGAAAAGCGCTGAGGAAAGAGACACTGATGGAGGAACCAGACCTGGGCTGCGTGCCATTTTGGTTTTGATGTGAGCCCCTCCCGCCCCATTCACTGTGCCCCAGTGCCCAGCCCAGGGCTCCTCACCCGCCACATGCCCGACTTGTCCACAGTTAGAGAGAAGGCACACTGCTGCTTATACCAGTGGGTTTGTAGCCAATGCTAATTTGTTAAAAAAAAATCCTGGAAATTCATAGATCTTCACCAAAAATGACCTAAAAACACTGAACTGTTTATCACTCCAGTACCATCTACCACTTGGAGGGAAGTTTTTATCCTCTATCAGTTCTGGGGTTTCAGGGGTCTCTTCTACTTTCCTACTTCATTTTTATAGTACCCCTGTTATGGGCTGAACTCCGCATTGCTACACCATTATTCCTGATAAGCCCAGCCCCTGGCACTGGGCACTCTCCACAGTTGTGTGGAGTGGTTGACAGTTTCCTTCTGTGGTGTGACATCACTCCTGAGATGACAGCCACTTCCTGCTTTTCTGGAAGGGAAACTAGGCATAGAAAGATTCAAAATTGCTCCCGAGTAAACTAAGGCAAAGCAGTGCTCTTATGCAAACCCGTGGGCCTGAGCTCTTGTCATCTGGTCGGCTGAATATCAGATGCTATCAACACTTCCAAAGGTTGTGTATTCCTCCCACACAATGCCTCCTGTCTGTAACCATCAGATTTATTTTTATATTTATTAAGCAGTAAGCAAACAGAGTTGGGGGAGATGACCTAAAATGGTTTTCTTTTGGAATAATATTTTTTAAAAAATCAAATAACTGTTATCACTTTAAGTTGCATGAGGCTGAAGCTGCACCTGGAGAGGAATTTAATTTTCATGACATGCAAAACTGATTAGGCAGTGAACTCTTTCCTCCCGCTTCCCCTGAACACATTTATAAACTTCAACGGGGGTGAATTCCATCTAATACTCTGAAAACCATTTCTCATCTCACAGTTTACCCAAATCATGTGCATGACTGCAAGAGGAAATAAACAAGAAATCTTTAAGCATAGATAAGCCACAATGGATAGTTAATCTTGTACAGACAATCCAGCATTAAGGCTAATTTGATCTTTTAAACATTTTATGGGAAACAGCTGTTGAGTTTTCTCTAGAAAAGCCCACAAGGTTCCATAACCCCATAGGCATACAGCCTCGACAGGCAGGGCTCCATCAGGCTCCTCTTGAACTGGGCACTCCTTCACGGAAGGCAGGAATGCACGTGTCTTCACTTCCTGCTGCTCTGCACGCACGTCACGATATCTGGCAGAAGGTGGTTTCTGTTTTCCTTGGTGACCTGTGGGAAGAAGTGAGAGAACAGGCTTCAGAGCTCCTTTCCTCTTCTTCAATCTTGTGCTAGGTAACTCTCTAAAAGAAACGCCTGGAAGGCTGGGAGAGGGTGAGGTATGTTTTGTTACCCAGGCAGGAGGCCCAGCTCTTCAGGAGCACTCAGAAACAGGACAGGAATCACCGAGTCCCAGCATCAGTTTCTGCCAAGTGACAGCTCAAAAAGTCAAAGTGGGTTTGGAGCCCAGACAGATTTCAGCCAACCATGGGGAGAGCTGTGAAGTGAGTCCGACGAGGCACACCGGGACGGATGATGGGCACACAGGACCCCTGAGCACGACCTGTCCTGAATGGAAGGAACTCAACTGTTGGAGTGAAGCGAGGAGGAGAGCCTGGGAGCCAGCGGGGCCCAGGAGGGCACCCAGCAGAGCAGCAGTGAAGCGCCCAGGATTCTGGGATGCTCAGTCATCTACCCGCCTCTCCACAAACATCAAGTGCTCATTTGAAACATGGAGAAGTGGGAGAGCCAGAGACGTGAGGGTGCCTCCGTACAGACTGTTACTCAGGCCTCCTGACTGCAGTGTGTTCTCCAACACTTACACCATTACAAAATCAAACAAAAGCAACAAAGAGTTCACCAGAGCTTTACCCGATGATCTGTTTATTTTTCTTTCACTACCACACCATCCCGAGTGCCCCAGGGTAAAGGAAGGGCCATCTCTGCTCCCATCACAGTGCCTTCCTACTTGGCCCATATAATATCCATCCACTCAACACACGCTGATGGGGTGGAAGGGCAAACAGGAGCCAGGCACAGAGATGCGCATAGAGAAGCACCACAGGTAAGGACCCTGACCTCATGGAGCTCGCAGACCAGGACAGGACAGGCATGAACAAGGACAATGAAGGAGTCTGGGGGGCAGGCAGGAACAGGGGCATGTGTGGGGTCAGGGGCAGGAAAGGCTTCCAGGGGTGCTTAAGCCTGGATGTAATTTCGACAGGTGAACCATGGAAAAGGGGCTGAGCCAAGGTTCCCGGTAAGAGCAGGGAGTGCATGTGGAAGCCTTCTGAGGTTCAGGGTGGTTGTATCTGAAGAGGGGGCCTGGCATACAATAGGTGCCAATACATGTCTGAAGAGGAGATGCAGAGCGGACCTCGTCAATTCTGGTTCCTGGCACCTGCTCACCCTTCTTGGAAGAGTGCTCTGGTTGTCTTTAGGAGACTGTACGGTCTAGGAAACTTGCCCCCAGCCAACAAGTGGGCAAGCCAGGCCCTGGCAACTTCTCTGAGATCTGTACCCCAAGAGGAGTGACTGAGATCTGCACCCCAAGAGGAGTGAGCTCACGCAGCAAGTGCCAGAAGCTGATCCCATTTCTACTGGTCCTGGCTGCGTCAATCCCGTGATCCCATTTCTACTGGTCCTGGCTGCGTCAGTCCCGTGATCCCATTTCTACCGGTCCTGGCTGCGTCAATCCTGTGATCCCATTTCTACTGGTCCTGGCTGCGTCAATCCTGGGCGGCTGTGGCTCCACTTGAAATGAGGACAGTCAGCTTTTCCTTTGGCTTCATGGGACAGCTCCAAAGCCTATAAGGCTTTTTGATGCTGTTTTCACTTAAGTTAGCCAAAGTCCATTCCTGTTGTTTGCATTCAAGGAATCCACCTGAGGTAGAAAGGAGGCGACACAGAGGTGGGCACCACAGGGGCCCTTTTCTTCCACTCTGAGTTCAGCAGTGATTGCAGTAGCTTCTGCCTCCAGCCAGGCTCTGTGAGAGTGGACTGTGATACACAGCTGGAGAATTTGCTCTGGTCTTCTATGACACAGTACGGTGACTACAGAGTAAATAACAAGGTAGTGTATATTTCAAGATAGCTAGAAGAGAAGATTTTGAATGTCATCACCACAAAAATGATAATTTAAAGTGACAGATATGGAAATTACCCTGATTTGATCATTATACAATGTATACATGCACTGAAACATCACACTGTACCCCATAAATATGTACATTATATCAATTACAAATTAAAAATTAATTTGAAAATTGAGCAGAATGCAAACACTCCAATATTAATATTTTGATACTCCCTTTGATTTCCCTAAGATTATTTCTGAAAATTATGCAATAAAATGTTGATGTGCAACTCTCTGCAGTATTCACTTATGATATTCCCTGTTGAGAAAAGCACACTCCCAAATGCAAGAACAAGGATCACAGCATCTGCCAACCTCAGGAGTCTTTGCCTTATGTGAAATTCTAGTCTACTTTTTATTCAACAGCCAGAATTTTGGTTGCAGAAAGCCTTTCCTGAGAAGCTAATTAGAAGAGGGAACTGGGAGCTGGGAGCAGGAAAAGGAAATAAAGAAGACTGCAGAAAGAAGAAAGTAATCCCAACCATTCTTTTTTTCTGCACTGGAGCCTTAAGAGAAAGAAAGGAAGCTGAGTGAACCTGAACCCTTGCACCTGCCCAGTGGCTGTAGGGGGGCCCTTGGTAAGAATTTATCCTGGGCACAGTGAAGATAAGACTGTGAGCACCATGGGGTCAGAGGCCACATCTCATTCATCCTGTGACCTCCAGATCCAATCCCTTGCTTATTAGGAATGTTGGGGGCCCTTCCCACAGTTTCAAGGAAATGCATGTGGTTTTGTTTTGCTTTCTTGCACATAGTTGTATACTAAGAGGCATTTCTTCCCCTGCCTGCTCCATCCATGTTTTCAGGTCTGGGGTTGTTAAAGTCAGAACATAAGCAGGACCCAGTATCTGGTACTGCATCTGTGCCCAGCAGATGAGTCAAGTACTGTCTCTCGCCGTACCTAGGCCAACCAGATGAGAAGACAAATTTGTGATATCACCACCTCAACTTCTTATTTAAACAATCAAGAAGCGGGAAGGGGAGACTGAGCAGGGCATACAGACACTGATCATATTAAACAAGTTAGAAGGCAGTGAGGTAGCATGCAAGCAGCCTGGAAGATCAGATAATATCCACTCACTGCTGCCAAGAACATGTGCACCCCAAGGTCTAAACAAGAGGCTTAGTCATACTATGAAGCTGCCAGCTTGAAAAAGAACTAAAGTTGTTGATAACATTTTCAATGTTATGACATTAACTAGAAGGCAGCAAAATCAATCAATGACACACTCATTGGGATACAATGGGATAAAACTCAATGGGATACAATGGTAATAACCTCTTAGAGTTCTGAAAAACAAATTATTGAAGAACCCATAAGTCACCTGCTATGATTTGACTGTGTCCCCCACATTTCATGTGTTGGAAACTTAACCCCCATGCAAATAGAGGTGGGACCTTTAAGAGGTGATTAGGTCATGGGGGCAGCCCTCATGAATGGATTAATGCCATTATAGTGGGAGGGAGTGAGTTATGGCAGGACTGGGTTACTGATAAAATGATGTCTGGTTCTCCCTCTCTATTGTTCACTGCTAAAACTCCAGTGGATAGAACAGTACCTGACATACAGTGCGTGCTCAATATTTACCAAATAGATGAATAAAAATACTCCATCACCAATTTCTTCTACTGATGCTTTACTAGGTAATAGGAGGTGCCAAAGATTGTATCAGTGAGATTTTATTTTCCTTCTCAGGTACTGTTCTTTCTTTTCTTTTTTCAGCTATTTTTTTTAACACATCAGAGAATGTTATCGTTTTGCCTCAACTGTCAAACATAATTCTTCAAAAGTCAACAGAGGAAGAAAAGCCCACTACACTCACTCAGAGTTTTACTCTTCCCATTGTTCTTTCTTCCTTCCTGATGTTCCAGGTCTCCTTTTACCATTTCCTTTCTGATAAGAGAACTTCCTTTGGCCATTCTTTTAGAGCAGTTCTATTATGACAAATTCTCTTAGTTTTCCTTCATCTGTGAATGTCTTATAGAATTATGAGTCGACAGTTGTTTCAACACTTGGAAAATGTACCACCTCCTTCTGGCCTTCATGGTTTCTCCTGAGAAATCTGCTGTCACTCATATTGTTTTTACCCTATAGGTAAGGTGCTGCTTTCCTTTCACTGCTTTCAAGACTTTAATTTTCATAAGTTTGACTATGGTATGTCTTGGCATGAATTTGAGTTTATCCTCTTGGGGTTCACTGAAAATGTAGGTTTATGTCTTTTGCCAAATATGACAAAAATGCAGCCATTACTTCTTCAAACACTTTTTCAACCCCACACTCATCTCCTGTTACTACAATGATGTGAATGTCACATCTTTTGTTATAGTCCCACAGGTCCCAGAAACTCTGTTCATTTTGTTCATTACTTTTTCTTTTAAGTCTGCTCTTTGTCAGGTAATTTCTATTGTTCTACCTTCAAGTTCACTGATTCTTTCTCCTGTCATCTCTATTCTGCTGATGAGCCCATTCAGTGACTTTTTTATTGGCTATTGTATAGTTCTAAAATTTTCATTTGATTCTTCTATCTTCTAGGTTTTTGCTGAAACTTTCCAGTTCTTGCTGAGACTATTTTTCATTTGTTTCATGTGTATCTGTAATTTTATGAAGCATTTTTATGATAGCTGTTTTCAAATCCTTGCCCTATAATTCCACTATCTGAGTCACCTTGCTGTTGAGATCTGCTGATGGCCTTTCCTCACTCAGGTTTAGGTATTCCTGATTCTTGGCATGACAAATGATTTTCAGTTGTGTCTGTTGTGTTGTTCCTTAGGTCCTTAGGTTCCTAGCCAGTCTGTCTTTTTCTCTTCACTTTTCAGGTCTTCTTATGCTTGTATTATAAATAACATCCTTAGCAGGAAAAATAAACACAAGTGTGTCTACTCTATCTTGTCTAAAACTGGAAGAGTTCTCGGGTGTTTTTGGAAAGTACTCTGTTCACCCAACGTTATGAAGAATAAGTCAAGATAATATTACTAATTTGTGTGGTATATTTCCCCCATATCATGAGCTCAGTCTCATCTTCACACTATGCATATTCATTGGAAAGTACTCTGTTCACCCAACATTGTGAAGAATAAGTCTAGATAATATTACTAATTCGTGTGGTACATTTCCCCCATATCACGGGCTCAGTCTCATCTTCACACTACGCATGTTCAGCTGGTAGCAAGGGGACGCTGACTCTGACCCCTTTTCATAGCTCATTTTCTTACCTGGAATGTTCTCCCTTCTTTTTCCCATTTCCTCCTTCAAGAGCCAACTCAAGAACCCCTTCCTTTGGACACCTCTCCACTACCACTGCTCACATAGATCTCTCCCTTCCCTGCCCCTAGATTTTGATTGCCCCATGGTCTGTTTTTCTTGAGGGCAGAGATCATGCCTCACAGGTGCCTAAACGATGGACTAAGTACTGAATGTGAAGGGCACTCTCAAAAATGGATTCGGATACTTTATTGCATGTGAGCAATGGAAAGAACCCAAAAATATATCTAATCCAACACCTAAGTTTGCAGATAAAGAAAATGAGGTTCTTGGCCAGGCACAGTGGCTCATGCCTATAATTCCAACACTTTGAGAGGCTGAGGCAGGCAGATTGTTTCAGCTCTTCAATTCGAGATCAACCCCGGGCAACATGGTGAAACCCCATCTCTACAAAAAATGCACAAATGAGTCAGGTGTGGTGGCACATGCCTGTAGTCCCAGCTTTTTGGGAGGCTGAGGTGGAGGATGGCTTCAGCCTAGGAGGCAGAGGATGCAGTGAGCCAAGAGCATGCCACTGCACTCCAGCATGGGCCACAGAGACTAACCTTGTCTCAGAAAAAAAGAAAATGAGGTTCTTGATTTATAAAACTGGAAAAGGCCAGGCACAGTGGCTCACACCTGTAATCCCAGCACAGATTACTCTGGGCAACAGAGCAAGACTCTGTCCCTCCCCCTCAAAAAAATAAGTTAAATAAAAAATAAAATAAAACTGAAACAGAAGGACCACACAAACCCCAAAGCAACAACAACAAAAAAAAACAGGGTATGTCAGCCCCTATCTCTTACTTAATTAACTCAAAGCTAATTGTTTTATTTACAGATCATTAGAAGCAATGATTATCTTGCCTGGAGAATAATTTTGAGTCTCAGAGAGCGGAAGAAATGTGGTATGATCCTAAGACACAAAGTCTGTTTCTGGGCATCACAGTCAGCTCCTTTCAATCCTTCCTTAGGACTGTTAGATTAGATTAGTTTGTGGAACTAGCCAATCCCTGGAGTCTAACACTAGCAATTTCCCGGTCTTCCAGCCTAGAAGCTATCTGACCTCAAAACTAATTTTCTTTCATGATCTTTCACTATTCATTGCCTTGATTTCCATGGAAACTCTATAATCACAACCAAAAATGTAAAATAAGAGAAGACGACATGAAACTCTGAAGAACCCCACAGACTTTTCAGGGCTCTCAAATGTCACCTCCTTGAAGAGACCTTCCCTGATCGCCCTTGCTACTCCTGCCCCCAACTACCACATTGCCTGGTTTCTTTATTTTTGCCTTTATCAGTATCTGAAATTGCTTAACTTATCTGTTCACATTTTTGGTATTCAGCTCCTCCATTAGAATGTAAGCTCCATGAAAGCAGCGCCTTGGTCAGTCTCGTTCACCACAGTATCCCAAGACTTAGAATGACACCTAGCATACAGTAGGTGCTCAATCACTATTGACCAAATGAAGGAATAAATAAATCAATAAAGAAGCGCATACATTTTTCCAAGTCTGGCTGGTCTAACCCTAATGGCTGTTTACCACCACACTCCAGGATTCTTGGTGGCAACATGTGGATACTCCAGGATTCTTTGGTGGCAACATGTGGATACTGCCAGTGGGCCAAGGTGACATTTCACTCAGTGATTAAAATGATCATGAGGAAGGTGCTCACGGGTACTCACTCTCCACTCCCCCTGATAGGAGTGGCCCTGCCTGCCTGACTTGTTCACTTGGCACTTGCAGGGCCAGGGAGCTTTTAAACTGGGGGTGGGGAGTGAGGTGTGTGAGCAGAGCTCAGCCAAGAGCACAGCTACCACTGACTCAAAGAAACTAAGGGTAGGGGTTGGGGAGAAGCAATATCTGACTGAGAGGAAAACAGAGGGACAACAGGGAAAGAAAGGCAAGAATTTAGACAAAGTGCCAGCAATGCCATGAGTCCCTTCCGACTGGCTCAGACGCTGCCACTGGTCAACAAGCCCTAGCCCCTCATCTCTCACATGTGGTCTACAGCAGTGCTTCTCAAAGTGCGGGGGACCTAAAAACCACATGAGAACTTGCCAGAACAGATCATGGGGCCATCCCCCAGAGTTTGACTCCTTGGACCAGGGCAAGGCCCACTCCCAGGTGATGCCCATGCTGCCATTCTGCAAGCCTCACACTGAGTGGCACATCCTACAGATGCACTAGTGAATGTAGCAGCCACACGAGACCACAGAGCACCTCAGATGTGGCCAGTGTGACTGAGAATCCAAATGTTTAATTCAATTTAAATTTGATTATTTATGTGATTAAATAAATAATTCAATTTAAATATGATTAAATTTATTAAACATAAATAGCGAGATGTGGCTAGTCGCTACTGTTCTGAGCAATGCAGAGAGCACATTTCCCTCACTACTGGGAAGTTCAACTGGACGGTGCTGCTCTTCAGCACCTGGAAGCTGTGTCTCCCAACACATCCACAGCCTCTTCTCCCCACAAGCACAAGTGGGTCAGCTTTAAAAGGGAAATCTTTAAAACAAAACAAAAAATATTTGCCTCTGTATCCCAACCTGGCGCCTTTCAATCTGAGAAGAGATAAGCTTAGAACAAGCACCTTAGCTCAGGCAATTCTGATGCCAGAGAGGTCCTAGTGTCTGGTGAGGAGATGGAAGAAAAAAGCAGCCAGAACAACTGGGACCGTCAGGAGGCCCCCCCATAAGCGAGTTTGTTTTTTCATCAAGTAGAGGTATAATTTAAGTTCTATACATTTCTAGAAAATTAGACTCACCTACATTTCAGCATGGAAGGGAAAAAATGTTAACTCAAAACCAAAGAGATATTTTAGAGCCATCTGCTATTTTAGATCATCTGCTCCATTTCCACTGATTATGGAGGACTGGCTGTACTCACATTAAACACCTTCACATCCTTTCTGTTTCTGATTTCTTCTACAAGAGCCAGTGGCTTTCCTTTAGGAACTGGGATTGTGCCAAGGATTATAGTCCCTGGGGTAGACAGCGTCTGACGAACAGCTTGAATGAAAAGCTGACTGAAGAGCTCCATCTTCCCAATCTCATCGATGACGCACACTCTTTGCCCTGGGCCACTGCTGCAGTCGGCCTGAGAATGACAAAGACTTTCACTGGGACATCAGAGTCACATTAATCAAAGGGCCCATGGGTCCCACTCCCCAATCACTCACCAATGAGGTAAAAAAGACAGAAACCTTTTTACTGGATTTCAAAAAGTGACAGCATCCCACAGACCACCGCTGGTACTGTGTGGGAGGGGACTGCACAAGGGTGAGTCCCAGGAGCTGGGAATCATTAGGACTCTTGGAAGCTGGCAGCTATGCCTGTCACCAGTGGGATGTTCAAGGAAGTAACGGACATAAATTGGAATAAAGTCATGAGAAAGAGAATCTGAGATCTAAAGGATGCAATTGTACTTACTTTTTTTTCCCCTTTAGCCAAGACTTGTTTCCTTTTAATTTTCACTTTTTTCCAACAACGCTTATGGACCAGATCATGAAATACACAAACATCTACCTAGAGCAGTTATCTCCCCCCCAGCACGTAGGGAATCTCATATGGCTCAAAATGGAAAAAAGAGGCCATTATTATCAACAAAGGCTCCCATGCTTGCTGTCTCACTTTTTTTAAGCCTGAGGTATTTGGGTGCCACTTATTTTCTGGTTGTATATAAATATAAAGCTTGATCTCTGTCTTGGATCCCCTCTCTCGAATCACTCACTCTGGGGGAAGAGAAGTGCTATGCTGTGAGGATACTCAGGCAGCTGACGGTGAGGTCCACGTGGTGAGGCACTGAGGCCTCATGCCAACAGCCAAGAGGAAATGAACCTGCCAGCAACCACATGAGCAAGCTTAGAGGCAGGGCCCTCCCAGGCAAGCCTCAGATGACCACAGCCCCAGCCAACAGCTTGACTGCAACCTCAGAACCCCAGCTAAGCTGTACCTGGATTCCTGATCCTCAGATACTGTGTACAATAATGTGTTTGTTGTTTTAAGCTGCTAAATTTTGAGATAACTTGTTCCATAGCAACATATAACTAACACACATGTCCTCTATAGAAAGCCTTCCTGGGGAAGGCTGACAGGACTTTGGTTGATTCTTCCCTGGGAGGGACAAAACAGAACATGTAATAAACACTTCAATGAATGGTGAATGACAAATACACCTTATATATGTTTGTATACATGATTATTTTGAAAACTGTATGTAAAGCTGATTTACAAAGTATTCTTCACTACAGTTCTGATTCCTTAAATGATGACAGCAATATAGTCCTAGAGGGCATGTCTGAGTTAAGCTAGATTTTGTTCAAATTCCAAAAGCCAAAGCAGCATATGGTACAGTGTGGCTGGTGGTAGGGATCAGTGGCAACCAGGGGCAGCCAGTGACAGACGGGGCTGCGGGCCCAGATCCTAAAGGCCTTCGAAGGCACACACAGAGGTGGGAATCTTCTCCCACAGCCGAAAGAGTCTAATCCAGGGAGGATCACAAGTTGTGCTAGAAAGACTGCTGGCTGTGGAGTCAGAAACAAATGTTAGACTCCTTTTGGAATAGACAAGATAAGATAGTGGGTGTCTAAACCCCAGTTGTGATTGCACGGAAGCAGTACAGCAGTGTTTTTCAGACTTTTAAGTAAACAGTACTCTATTTTCCTACTGCATATTGTACACTTATGAAATATTTTTCCATTCATTTTATTAGCTAAAAGATCAATAAGGAGTCCACTGTAATCACCCAAGAGAGGTCTGAACAATCTCCGCACTTCTGTGTTTCTGACATGCTTCATTTTTGCCTCTCTATTAAGTTTATCTGTACACACGCCTGGTCTCCCCACTTAGGGCAGGTACATGGTTGTCCTCGTCCGCATCCTTCCTGGGGAACTCACCGATGTCCCAGAGCTGAGAAGTGGGGAGCTGAAGGAGCAATGTCACCCTCCACTGGTGGGGTCGGGGAGAAGGGCAGAGCATCTATGAAGTAAGTCACTACTTATTCCAAGTTTTTCCTCCAAAACGAAAGCCATATTTGGGAGAAATAAAACAGCTATCAACCACCTGTCTATGATAATAAAAACAGACAACTGTACAAGAAGGTTTCTGTCTTCCTGGGGGCATGCCACTCCAACTGACCCGACTGTTCCCAAGTGCTGTGGACATTTTGCTGCCCCCAGAGACGAAGAGTAATTGTGGATGCCATTCCTCTGGAGGCTGTCATCTAAAAGCCAAAATAAAACTTATTCTGGCACCTCAAAATGAGTTTTGGAAGGTGCCAAATCAGACAAGAAGTGATATGAAAGAATGTGTGTACACATGCACATGTATTTATTTGACTATATACATGAGGGTAGTAAAATGCACGTGGCCATGTGTAAATACACACGTACAGGTAGAAAGTGTGTGGCTCTTCAACAACCAGCCTTCCTGCAATCCTCTAGAACATTCACCAGTGAAAGCTCATCAACATTTATTTAAGTTTCAGCACAAAAGAATTTGGACACACATGTATACATTACTTTCTACCAATTGGAAATCCTCATTTTAAAACCTTAGCTTACATAAAATCCTCAATCTGTCCAGAATTGGGGAATTTTATAATCCAAGAACTTCAGGAATCTCAAAAATAAATCTGTGATTTTTAATTAAAAATGCAAGTTATTCATATTCAGTTGAGAGAAAGATGTCAGCTGCTGAGCCACTCTGAAGCATGTAGACACTCAGCCTGCTTTTCTAAATAGTACAAGATCATACACTCAAGGTCTTAAAAAAAGAACCACTATAACGTGTAACATGGTTTTATTTCTATATAAATTCAAGCAACTTTAGAGGGAAACAAAGAAATAAGTAAGTAAACAAACATTCACCCCCTTTACATTGTTCTAAATTGATAGAGACACAGACTTAGAACAATAGGGGCCCAGGTTTGAAGATGGTCAGGAACCCCTCCCCAACCCCCAGTGTGAGGAGAGTCCTAATGAGCTCCCAGAGAAACTCCACCTACAGCTGCTGGAGTAAGGAGTGTGTAAAAACTGTAGGTGGCTCTCAGCCACGTGGTCAGAATCACGATGTACACACCATCTGGGGTGTACACACCAACTGGGGAGCACCCTTTCCTCCCCTCACAGCCTCTCCTCAGAGAACAACCCAGGCAGCATTGCTTCCTAGTGCCACACCTCAGTCCTATGTAACACACTAGCCTTCCTGGCCACACCCCTCACAGGCTTCCACTTCAGCTGATTATAAATGTTCAGCCATGAAGCGCACTTTTAGTTTCCCTGTTCCGGGAGAGAAGATATTTCCTTAGATAGAGTCCTAAAATTGACCAGCCAGGGATAAGAGAAGCTACGAATAATTTTATAACTTTGGTTACACTCACCTAGTTTGCTTTCCAGAAAGATTAGAACAACAAATATCTTCGTACCAGTTATATCAGAGACCTGAAAATAGTGTGATTTTTTTGGGTCCTTTATTTTTATATGTACTTTTAAAAATACAAAGAACATATAAATATAAAATAATTTCATTTAACCAAAATATCAAACTGAGAGCAAGCTAATCCAAGTGGTCTTTGCCTTATTCTGAATTATTTGCATAATAAATGTTTCCAGTGGTATTAATGTTAATTTTAGGAGGACTGTTTGGATTGTTTTATTTTAATATCAGACACACAGACTAGCTCCTGAGCTTACCCACCTGGGACAGCAAGTATGGAAAGTCATGAAAGTGAATAAGGAGTGTCTCTCAGAAGTTAGGCAGCAAAACTGCAGCCCTTCGCCAAACAGCAGCAAGTTCTAGGGAAGCAGAAAGGCAAATGGTGCTAACAGCAGCCATCTCTGAGCCAGCCCACAATTCCTCACCCACTGAAGTTATTAGCTAAAAATGCAGGGCTCCGGTCATATTTTATGTGTGTTTATTCCAAGCCTTCAAGTCTCATAATCCCTTTGCTGTCTGGTGGCATATGGACTGTGAGTCTCCAGGGCATAGCCAGGACAAGGTGTCTAGACTGCCCGATGGCGCCTGGTAACCCGGCCCTTCCCCAGTCAAGAATACTCCGGGCAGAAGCTGCTCCCCCGGACATGCCAGAGATCCTCACCCCGGCACACAGACAGACTAGCTCTGAGGCTCTTCCTGGATGTCCTAAATGGCCTCTCGGGACTCACAGGGGCTCACCCACATGGTCACCCGACTGAAGAGCGCTTGAATGGTAGCCATGGGGTTTTCCAAGCTATCTTGGGACTGAAACAACACCTCCTGGCTGACAGTCAGTCCAGTGAGACGGAGAGCCCAGTACTCCTCGTCCTCCTCATGCTCTGAGCACTTGGGACTGGCCTGCACATTTGGGCTCCTGGGACTCCATGACAGATTACTATCCCACTCCGGACCCCAGCTCCCTGGCAAACACAAACCAAATTGTGAAGGGAGGCTCCTCTCAAGGTACTGCCATCCACCACCTCAATTAACTTCTCAAGAAAATAATCACTGCTATTGCTCTGCTGAGCACCTCCTAGGAGCCAGGGGCCAAGGCACTTTACAAGCATTACATTCAGTCCTCCCAGCAACTTCACATAGCAGGTAACAGCATCTGTTTCACAGATGAGGAAAGGAAATTAGGCATTAAGGGATTTACTCAAAACTCACTGAGAGCACAGTGACAGAGCTGGAGTCAAACCAGAGATCACCTGACTTCAAAGCTCTCTTCCACACCCTGTGTGCAATACGCCTCCACACTTTGATTCTGAAATAAAGAATAGCATCTAGGAAACTGACCTAACCACGAAGAAACTGCTTTCCTCTCCAATAAGAACGAATAGCACTCTGGTGTTTAGGGATCTATGGAGGCATAGGCACAAAACCTCAATTTATTTGGAGTAATCATATTGCTCTAAATTACTCGAAAATAACTCATATTTTGGGTCTGAGAATAATATCACCAAAATTATTTCATCAAGTATGGATAGCGAATGGCCCACTGCAGTAGGCAGATATGATAAAGTAAAAGGACTTCTCTCCTCTACCAGGAGCACACCCCGAGAAGACGGTGGAAGAGTTATGACCAGGTATCCTGATATGTCCACCTTCCTGCCAGTGTTTACAAAAACCAAATTAAAAAAAATTTCACTTGCTTAGTAAAAATTTTCATCAATATTTAAGCTTTTGGTAAATGTTTAGTATCTCTGATACCTGATACCGTTTTCATTAGAAACTGCCTGAGGAGAAAGAACTGATTGTTTTTCCTATAATAAAATGGTGATGGCTTTTCTAATGGGGAGGTAACCGGATACAAATAGAGAGAAGCACAGCTTAGAGTGGAAAAAAGCTTAACCATTATGGCATTTTTTTTAGTGCAGCTTCAATGTATAGTAATTTTATGTTTGTTAATTACTGCTCACCTTGCTAGAGAAACAATTTCAAAAGAGAGTAGTTAAATCTGCTTGCCAATTAAGGCCTCAAGAGAAAATTATTTTTATCTTAAGATGATCTAATAAAGTTTAGATAAAATTAGAATTGGCTAGGGGAAATCTGATGAGGAGGATGTGCATGGTCTCACACTATCTCCCCACTCACTGCTCATTAGTGTCAAAGAAAAAAATAGTAACTATACAGTGGAGAAATAGGACAAGTCCTTGATCAGGTAATCAAAATTAATATCACTAAACATCACACACCTCCAGATGAGATACTCGAGAAGGATGCATCATCACTTATGACTTATGGAGTATTCCAGCTTTATTTGGTCATGAGGAAACATCAGAAAAACTCCAAAAGATGAACGTTCTTTTAAATTGGAACTATATTCTTTACAAATGTCAATGTCCTGGAAGACAAAGAATGACTGTGGAAATGTTCCAAATTAACGGAGGCTATGGAGATGTGACAACTAAGTGTAACATCTGGAGGAAAAGAAATGTTACAAAGAATATTGTCAACTGATGAAACTAGAACACTAACGATAGATTAAAGTATTTTTTCAATGTAAGATTTACAGAGGTTGATAACTGTATTGATTATGTAAAAGCATATCCTTATTTTTAGGAAAAATATACTGAACATTTAGGAGTAAAGTACCTTGATGATTGCAACGTATTCTCAAATAGTCACCCCCTTCCAGCTTATATATTTATACACACACACAAACACACACACACACACACACACACACACACACAGAGAGAGAGAATAAGCAAACAAGGCAAATGATAAACATAGGTGACTCTGGATAATGAGAGTATACAGGTGTTCTTGCACTATTCTTACACTTATAACTTTCTCTAAGAGTAAAATTTTATCCAAATGAAGTTAAAAAAATTGTCAAAAAAAGAAAACACACACGTATGTACTTTCTCAGTACCAGACTCAAGAAAACAACCAACTCACCCCGTATGAACTTCCTCCTAATGGAGTGTGGTTTTAGACTGATACGCACGGGAGGCGAGACAGAAGGAAATGCTGGAAATGGGACAAAGTGAGAGGGAAAAAGAAAAACGGCAACAGTTTATACAAACTCAACCCCAGTCCAGCTTAAGGGACGTGTGACTTAAGGAGCATGCAACTTTTCTGTGTTTCTTGAGAGTGGACTGCAAGAAGAAAGACATGAAGGTGTCATAACCCAGGGCAAAAGCCTGCTTAGCATCTAAATCCACAGAATCTCGCCAACAATCAGAAATAATAAAGTCTCAGTCTCTGCTCAATAGAAATTATGAAGATTTGCCATGACAAATCTTGCAAAATGAACTGCAGAGTCAACCTCATGCTGAATTTTCACCTCATTTTCTTATGCTGATTCACTGCAGGAATGTCCTTACTGACAGTTTAAAAACTGATTTTCTGTTTGCGCCAGATAGCTTTTAATTTCCCTGGCTGATCCTGCATTACATACTTGTAATACATGAGGTAGAGAAACAGAAGCTGAGAGAGAACAAAGAATCAAATGCCACATTTGCTAACAGCAATGACAGAAATTCTAGCAATGCTGAGGAGCTTGTCAATCTTTCAAGAATGGATCCTGACTAGAACTTGGTTTTTCTACATTCTTTCTAAAGCCAAGTGGCCTGAGAGTGACCTAAGGAACACTTCCAGGTCGAGTCTAAAAAAACAAAAACAAAATACTTTTCCCTAGACAGGAGTCCTCTCACCTTCAAAGGAAGTTTCTAAGATTTTCCAAAGCAGAGCCTATTTCAGAACCAAAAGTAGATCCTGCTCTCAAAAACAAATATACTTTAAAGACTTATTTTAATCAAAACAGGAAAATACAAGGTTCAAACTATGTTGGTTTTCCCTGGGTGTTCTGATTTTAGCTTACTCTTCCTTTCACAGATCTTTGTAAAAAATGACACTGTTCACCTGGAAAACAGGGCTTTGAGTAGATGTCCTTTGTTCTTTAAAACATTATAATCTATTGTCTCCATTTTGTGTGAGTAGGAGATATGTTGAAAATCAATAAAATGTTACATCTTACATTGCATCAAATTTTAATAAAGCATTGAGGGTAGCTATCAAAAAGGCCATTATGAAAAAGGCCAGCATTATCTTATCAGCCTTGATCATTAGAAAACAGAAAAAACAATCCTAATTCCAGTAGCACCAGAAAATAGGAGAGCCCTATGAATAACCTCACCAATAAAAATTTTAAAGAAACAGATGGAGAAAGAGAAACATGTTTTGGGCTGTGGAGAATTAAGATTATCTGAAAAATTAAGACACCCTTTATGTCAAAATAACTATAGTCCCAATCACTCCATATAAGACATTTTTTTTAATGGATAGTAAAGTCTTGATTCTATAGTTCACTCCAGCTCTACCACTTACACAATTAGTGTGTCCCTGGGCAAGTAACTTTCCATTCTATGCCTCAGTTTCCTCATCTGTAAAATAGGAATAGAGTGATAGTGTTCTGAGGATTAAGTGAGTTCATGCCTGGCACGTAGTTCGCACTCAATAATAGTTTACTATTACAAGTGCCACCATTACTACAGTTTCTGAACAAGGCCATTTTTTGAAGAAGAAAAATAAAAACGATTACCATGGTAATTAAAATACTATGGTACTGATGCAAGGATCAAACAGATCAATGGAAGAGAACAGATAACTCTGAAACACTATACATACAAGCACACATAGTTTTAATATAATTAATTAAGCATAAAAAACTAATTAGAAATGGGTTATTTAACAAACAGTTTTAGTAAACTGGCTAAATATCTGGAAGAAAATCAGCTGAGAATCTCATAGCATATTACACTCAACATAATCCAAATGAATTGAAAACATAAATGTTTAAAAAAAGCATGCAGAAGAAGAAATATATAGGTAAAATTTTATATAAATTTGGAATAGGGACAGACTTTTCTCTACCTTGAAGGGAAAATAATCACCAAAGTGAAGTGCTAAACTGAGAAAAACAGAATCAATAATATAAAAAGGCTATCTGCTTTATAAAACATCTATTTAAGCCCAAAGAAAATAAATGGGAAGAGCAATGGATGAACAACTAAAATTAAGGAAAACTTAATGAACAACTGAAAAACATTTAACCCCATTAGTAACTGAAAAATGCAAATCAAAACAAAGCAGTGTGTTGAAAATAAGTAGAGTGCTCAGGGCTGGCACAGCGCAGCAAGACAAGCACACTCACACCCTGGCAGTGGGACACAAAGTCAACGCAGCACCATCAAGACCTTGAAGGTTCACACCCCACCATCTCAGACTTCACCTTTTAGACCCTCCCCAGGGAAACAATCATGGCTAGAGAAAAAGATTCATGTATAAAGGGTGCTTTGTTGCAAGGTTACTTACAATGGTGATACGGAACCTGAATGCTCAACACTGAGGGAGTAATAGTTAAATCAAAGATGAAAACTCATACCATGAAATAGGATGAAACCACTAAAATCTCCCAGCTTTGAAGATTAGCATGTTGTGAGACCATTCCCATGTCCCTCAATCATATTAAGGGAAACACACCAAGCCTATGAAACTATACATAACATTTTCCCTGATCCTGAATGACTGAATAAATAAACCAGGTATACAAAAGGGGCAGAAACAAAATAAGCTAACATTGGCTAACTTAGTGATAAGATTATGAGTTATTCACATTGTGTTTTTTATTTTTATTTTACATTTTTTATAATTTTTTTAACCATGAATATCTAGAACTTGAATACTCAGGAAAATAACAAATGTTGACAAATAAGGAAAGAGTTAACTCATGGAATGAAAAAAATTAACAGTCAACCCTACTAGAGGCTTTCCAAAAACCTTCCTGAGTCTAGAACACTTACCACACACACTCTATTTTTCTTTATTTCTCACGAGCGACCACGATGCTCAGGCTCCATTCCTGCCTAAAGAAACGTAACCAGGCTAGGCACAGTGGTTCACGCCTGTAATCCCAGCACTTTGGGAGGCCAAGGTGGGTGGATCACGAGGTCAGGAGTTCGAGACCAGCCTGACCATGATGGTGAAACCCCGTCTCTACTAAAAATACAAAAATTAGCCAGGTGCGGTGGCAGGCACCTGTAATCCCAGCTACTCGGGAGGCTGAGGCACAAGAATCGCTTGAACCCTGGAGGTGGAAGTTGCAGTGAGCTGAGATGGCGCCACTGCACTCTAGCCTGGCTGACAGAGCAAGACTCTGTCTCAAAAAAAAAAAAGGAAAAGAAAAAGAAACAAGAAACATAACCAGAGCAGTTTTGCAAGGTGAACCTGGGTTGTGCCTGGCCCTCCTGAGCCTCTCCTGGAGCTGCTCTTCAGCTCCCGGCCACTTTTTTTTTTTTTTTTTTTTTTTTTGAGATGGAGTCTTGCTCTGTCACCCAGGCTGGAATGCAATGGTGCCATCTTAGCTCACTGCCACCTCTGCTTCCTGGGTTCAAGCGATTCTCCTGCTTCAGCCTCCTGAGTACCTGGGACACGGGCATGTGCCACCATACCCAGCTGATTTTTGTTTTTGTTTTTAGTAGATACTGGGTTTCACCATATTGGCCAGCCTGGTCTCAAACTCCTGGCCTGAAGTTATCCACTCACCTCAGACTCCCAAAGAGCTGGGGTTACAGACATGAGCCGCTGCAACCAGTCCCAGCCACATCCTTACTTCCCCACCTGCAAATAGGCATAGCCCTGCTTGGCCTAATTAGAGAAGTACTTTTTTCTTATTTTTTTGTAGTATTAAAACACACACACACACATACATACAACCCTCAAACTATCTTTCACTCATACATATTGAAATTTCTTACACACAATGGATATTTCTTATTATCGGAATTTGTGTTTTCATAGATCCCAGCACTATGAACTAATACTGTGTCCCTTTATAAAGGGTTTCTAACACTTCCAGTTTACTTGGTTGTTTTCATTGCCAGTATCAAAAATGGTGTGTTTATACTCCCCAGTTTTGTTGCCTAATTATTTTAATTAATATTCTTTTCATTTTTTTCTTTAGTATAAAGACAAAACACTAGTTCCTTCTCCTTTCTTCATTCCCATAAAATATGTATGATGGGAGAAAAATTTCTGCTCCAGAAAAGAAATCCATGACCCTGACTGGGTGAGAATCCTATATTAGTCCATTTTCACACTGCTATAACTACCTGAGACTGGATAATTTATAAACAAAAGAGGTGTAATTGACTCACAGTTCCGCATTGTTGGGGAGGCCTCAGGAAACTTACAATCATGGTGGAAGGCAGAAGGGAAGCAAGGATATTCTTCACGTGGCGGCGGGAGAGAGAGAGTGCAGGGGAAACTGCCACTTTTGAAACCACTGGATCTCATGAGAACTCCCTCACTATCGGGAGAACAGCATGGGGGAAACCACCCCCATGATCCAATCACCTCCCTTCAGGTCTCTCCCTCCACACATGGGGATTACAATTCAAGATGAGATTTGGGTGGGGACACAGAGCCAAATCATATCAAATCCCCTGCCAGGAACTTTTTCTACATGGAATGTACATGTCTGCATTTGGCAATCAGAATACAAAATGTTGGGAGAAGTCTGTATTTCTTTATTTTTTAATTAAAAAACAGATTTATGCTCTGATCTGGTCAGCATATGATCTCTTATATAATCTTGCATCTAGACACTAAACACCTGTGCAAACTCTCCTCCCAGGATTTGGTCTACTCTGTCTGAGCAGGGTAAGTAAAAAATTCTTTGTATTGACCCAGTCAGTTCCTAAAACCAGAATCTTCACTTGGAATTTCATTTGAAGTATTTCACTTGACTTTTGAACATTTAAGTAGAGAGGAATGTATGTGACGGGAAAACAGCTAAAAAGAAAAGTACCATGTTCTCTGCTCCCGCAAAACACAGTGGCCACGAGAGTCCCCAGCACAGGAACTGAGGGTAAGTTCCAAGAGGAAGGAATTGGGGAAGAAGGAGGTGGGAGGAGGAAACACAGCGTAGGAAGAAAAGGAGAACTTGGTGGGTTCCAAGAAGCACAACCCCCTGCTGAAACAGACCATAAGATACCACCAGCCCTCTGAGATTAGAGGATATCCTCAGAGGCTATAGCTAAAATCTTCAGCAGCCTTTGGGCAACCACCACTACATACTTCAGCTGAGCTCTGAATGTCAAGGAGCAGAGAGGCAAAGATCTATGAAGACAGCGTGCTCACCAAAAAAAATGGCAAGTGCCAAGGGCCTCAGCCTGGCATATGTGGGAAGTCTGATTGAACCAGTGTGGCTGAAGAATGGCAAGATGAGGTCAGAGGTTAGTAAGGCCAGATATCACAGGGCTACAGGGCCTTCTAGGCCACTGGAAGGACTTTGGACTTTATTCTTGGTGCCATAGAAAACTCTGGATAGTTTATAGTTGGTTTTTGAGACAGGTCTGTATCATTTAATTTTCACAAATCAAAGTAGTAAGTCTGTAATAGATTAAATGACACTCACATTCCTTAACATGGTCCACAGAGCCCTGCATCTCATGGCCCCCCACCTCACCAAACTTACCTTCTTCACCTGCTCCTGCTCCAGGGCTCTGAGGTCTGAATGTATCTGTTCCTGCCATTTAGAATATTCTCCCCAGACCTCCCCACCCTGACACATACAAATACCCCAATACTAACTCTCTCTCCCCAATGCCCTCTCACCTGTTCCTTTCTGTTTAAATGTCATCTTCCCAGAACTCTTTCCTGGTCCCTTGGTCTAAAGTCAGTTCTTCCTGTCCCTCCCTTTCATAGCACCCTGTTCTTTTCTTTCACAGCATTAATGACCATGACAAGTATAAATTTACTTAGTGTCTACCTTTCCCACTAGACTAACAGTTTTGAAAGAGTAGAAACATGTCTGTTTTGTTCATGACTGTATATGCAGTACTTGATAAATATCTGATAAATAGATACATAAAACTACATAATCAATAAAACAAAAGCTGGTTCTTTGAAAAGATCATCTAAATTGACAAACTTTTAGACTGACCAAGGAAAAAAGAGAAGATTTAAATAACTAAAATAAAGAAAGAAGTGACAATATCACCAATCTTACAAAATAAAAAGCATTATGGGTGAATCTATGAACAACTATATGCCAATAACTTAGATACTTCAGATGAAATGGACAAATTACTAAAAGGTACAAATTACCACAACTGATTCAACAAAAAAATACAAAATCAACAGACCTATAAGGAGAGATTTAATTGGTAATTTAAAAGCTTCTCACCAAGAAAAACCTAGCCCACATGGCTTCTCTAGTGAATTCTATCAATTATTCAAAGAAAAATTAATACGAATCATTCACAAACTCTTCCAAAAATTAGAAAAGAAGGAAACACTTCCTAACTCTATTAGACCAGTATTAACCTGATACCAAAACTAAACAACAATATCCCAAGAAAAGAAAGCTACAGACCATATCTTTTGTGAATAAAGATGCAGAAATCCTCAACAAAATACGCCTGAGTAAACTCTATACAAATAAGACACAGTTAACATCATACATAATGGTGAAAGACTAAATACTTTCTTTCTAAGATTAGGAATAAGATAAGGATGTCTACTCTCACCACTTTTATTCAATGTTGGACTGGAGGTTCTAGCCAGGGTAATTAGGCAAGCAAATGAAATAAAAGGCATTCAAAGTAGAAAGAAAGAAGCCGTAAGATGTCAATAAAGTTTTTTTCTTTTTTAAAAAAGGTAATATAATAATATAATACGTTAACTGCTTACAGTACTTGGTAGGCATTCAATAACAACTGGCTATTATGTTCATATAATGACATTTTCTCTTCCTAAATGTTTGTTGTGCTGTGAAACCAGGTTAAGACATGACTGTGAGAAGACAGAGGAAAGACTTATCTTTGGGAATGTTGGTACCTGGGCATCAAGAGCCTTTCCAAAATAAAATATTTATATGTACTGAATTTATAGGAATTTATCTGTAGCTCAGAGTGATAGCAAATTATGTTGTTTATCCTTATTAAGACTCAATCTTTTCAATTGTAAAATGCAAAACTGGGGCCTTTAAGAGCAAAAGGCATTCTGTTTCCATGGCTAGCAATTCCCACAATACACTAAGAGCAGATGGGTTCAAAAAGCAGAAATCACGTACTCACATTCCTCAAGACGGGTAGTGCCAACTGCTCAAAAGAAGTCAGGTCGACCACATACTGCCCAACTCGGCATTCACGTTTTCCAGGTGGAGGCTCTAACCTGAAGGAAAAGACATTATGTTCTTTGTTGAAAAACTCCTGTATTGATTTCTGGTTTTTAGCTGCTCCACTGAGCCTCTGGCATTCCACATATGCTAAATCATCCTTAAAAATGACCAACACAAAATGCGGTGGTCTGTAAAGCTGATCAGGTTTTCTCTGCTTTGAACAGAGCTACCCTGTTCAAAGTGTCCACACCTCCAACAATGGGCCTTGCAGTTATGGCAGGGCTATCTCTTAAGGTCCAAGCAGCTACTGCATCAACAGTCTTTGAAAAGTGGCACCAGAAACAGGACTAAGAATTATAAAGTGAGAGGAGTTTATGACTTGGTGAACAAGTTTTAAGTAAAATATCACTTTCTTATACTTTTTTCATGTGATGGTTTCATTCTGTTTTCTTTCTCTGAGAAATCCCTAAAGGCCTAAGATTCTTGAGGATAGATGACAACATTTGGCTCAACCCTGTGCCCAGGGAGACACTCTCAACCTAAAGGGAAAGCAGATGGGCATCCAAGGACCCAACAGAGTATCTGCTTTTGGTGAATTTAGCTCTTGTTGAAAAGCTCCCAAAGCACAGATGGAAGGGGAGCTTAGATAATAGAACACCACAGAAATGAAATATCAGTACCCAACTCTCGATAAAGGCCCCCGGGTGCCGGACAACGTGACGACATCGAATCCTATTCTTCTCCCTCCCTGTCTGACTTCTTCGGTATAAAATCCATCAACAGGCACACCAGAGGATTTTAAAACCTCACTGGCTTTATGGATCAATGTTGTTTTTCCAACTCCTAAAATAAAAAAAAAAAAAAAAAAAGAAGAAAAGCCCATTAGGAAACATTCCCTTACTAGAGCACACACAGCACTTGTGGACTCTGAGGCAGCAATTATGGTGGGTAGAGAAATGGGCTGTAAATGGATTTATGAATATGAACTTCAATTTAATTTTGATTGCTCCAGGTGCTAAAAATGCTTAATTTCAAGTAGAAACAAGCATAATAAAAACACGAATGATATCTTGAGGTTTATTTTTAAATTGTGAAACATTGTTAATTTTGTCACGTACACAATCCCAGAATCAACTGAGAGGTTCCTGATGATATTCTCCCATGCCATTTGCATCCTGTGAAATGGTTTACAGTTCCCATTTTTCTGCCCAGGAAGTAACACTGGTCACACTTGAGTCAGGGGCTGGGAATTTAAGATTTCAGCTTTCAAGAGATTACAAACGGACCTACACTTAACAGTGGGAAAATCACTTTGTTCCTCCTTTGACTTACATTGTTGTAACTCCTGAAAATGTGTCTCTTAAATATCATTAGCATCCCTGTTAATGGTCACTTTCAAACTTTTTCATAACAGCAAGCCTATCAGGTTAGCAACTCCTTCCAACATCATCTTCTCCAGGGTCTCTAAGCATTTCTTCACCTTTATCCCCCACACCTTCCCCAGTTTGAACCTATGTACCTCTGCCCCCTCAGCCTCCCCACCTTGATCCTTCCTGTCCATCCAGCCTGGTCAGCTGACTACTCTGATGAACTCACTGGTTTGTAAGCACCAACAGGTGCTACCTAATATAGTAATACTCATCACTGACGTCATGGAGCCAGACACTGTTCTAGCACACTTTGGAAGCATTTTCTTGGTTAAGTCCTCACAACCATCCTCTGAGGCAATTACCATCCTTATGCATATTTTACAGATGGAGAAACTGAGGTACATGGTGGTTAGGTATTTTACCCAAGGCTATACCCCTCATAAGGTCCATACCTTTCAACAGGGGACTTTACCTGTCACCATGACTTTTTAAAATATGAGCCTTGTTCCCAATATGGATTTAAGTAAGTGGCATCATGACTACCCAACAATGGAAAGAGAGAGAAAACTCCTAGCATGTCTGCAAGTGAGCTATTTTGAGATACTACAGAGTTGCAAATCATGCTATTTCTAAGACTACCCACTCTTTTAAGCCTCCTTGACATAAAATATGATCCATTATTCTTATTTAATGTATCTATCTTCACACTTCACATTAAAATAATGGCACCTGGCTTTCTGGAACATGAACAGCAACACAACAGGATTCTGGCTACAGTAAGCCACAGTGAGCATGCAGCTGGTAGAACTGTGTAGAACATAAAATGATGACATTCTAATCCAGCCCTGGCCATCAGTAACAACTGCTTTAGGAAAGTCACTAAAGAATCTGTTTCATGCAAGTAATGGCATTGCCGAATGTGTAAGCTGCTACTTCTTTTCTGAAGGGCAATTTCAATGCGCCTGCCACAGCACCCTGTAGTTCATGACTAGGAATTCATCCTCAGGAAACATCAACAATACAAATGTGTGAAAGAGGACATTCACTGCAACATTCTTTATAATAGCAAAACACTGAAAACAACCTAAATGTTGATTGTAAGGGAATGTTAACTCATGGCACCATGTATATAATAGCACATAAATACACAGAAATACCATGCAACCATTAAAAAATATACTGCTTATATGTATTTATTAGCATGGAAAATAGACCACAATGTATGAAAATAATATATGGAAAAAGCAGGTTAATAGCAGAAACCATTCCATTATGTTTTTTTTAAAGAATGGTCAAGTACGTGTCTACAGAAAAAAAAAATGTCAAGAAGAATACAGAACAAAGATTTACAATGTTGATTTCTGATGTTCAAATTCCCTGTGATTGTCACTTTCTTCCTTAAACTTTTCTTGTTTTTTTTAATTCTTATACTGAATGGGTCTTACTCTTATCCTAACAAAAATTGCCGTTTATATTTTGAAAAAGATAAAATGGAGCAACGGTAACTATTCCTGTTCACAAAGGGTATACTGTGGGGACTGTATGTTGTGTAGAACATAGTAGAGCAATAAATAGGAAGCATTTGGGCAAAGTCCCTTTTGGCTTCTTCAGCTCTAGGAATCTTCTTTCAGTTAATTTTTTCTTCATTAGTTAAGCTGCTACCCCAATGCTGTCTGGATAAGAAATGACCTCTGCTTCAGGAGACCTCGAGATGATAGCTGTATACCAGGCACAAACAGATCAGAAAGCTCTGGAATTATTTTGGTTCTGGTTCTCCCCTAAGCAGATCCTCAGATAAAGATTCAAGTGCAGGTAGTTTAACCTGGGCAGTGACAACATGATGGACTGGCAGGGAAGAAATTCAGAAAGGGAAGGGAAGGACACCAGCATGAGGTGCACTGTCAAGCAAGTTCCACTGGGGGCAGCTGGAGCTTCAACCCCCTGGGGAATCCTAAGGGACAAGTCAGGGCAAGTGGCTCAGTTATCCTGTCTGAGGAGTGAGAAAGTAGGGAATTTATCAACTAACTTTCACCAATCACAGGTTGAAGGCTAATCCCAGGGCACAGGAATTCCCTGGCTCTTCTGGCCTGCTCTGTTTGCAGGCCAAGTGGGCTCCAGGGACCAGAGAAAGCCCTCCAAGATGAGTCATGGGTACAGACAGTTGGAAATCGGAAAAAATGCTAAGTGCCAGGGGCACTAAGAGGATATGCAACAAAAAGTGACCTCTTTGAGAGGAGACTTTACCTGATGGTCTGAACATATTGAGAAAACAGAAAGAAACTAGGCAAATAAAAACACCTGACAATAACTCCTAATGGGGAAAAAAGTTATGTGTAAAAGGAAAAAAAAAAAATTAGAGGGCATGGTGGTGCATGCCTGTAGTACTAGCTACTAGGGAGGCTGAGGTGGGAAGATGGTTTGAGCCTGGAAGGTGGAGGTTGCAGTGAGCCAAGATTGTGCCACTGCACTCCAACCTGGGCAACAGAGAGAGGCCCTGTCTCAATAAGAAGAGGGAAAAAAAAGATGGGTAAGGTGGCTCACACTTATAATCCCAGTATTTTGGGAGGCCCAGATGGGAGGATCACTTGAGGCTAGGAGTTGGAGATCAGCCTGGGCAACATAACAAGAGACAGGTCTCTACAAAAAAAAAAAAATACCCGGGTGTGGTGGCATGCGCTTGTAGATCCAGCTATTCAGGAGGTTGAAGTGGGAGGATCACTTAAGCCCAGGAGTTTGAGAATGCAGTGAGCTATAACTGTTTCACTGCACTCCAGCCTGGGTGACAAAGCAAGATCCTGTCTCTAAAATAAATAAATAAATGGAAAAGAAATCATAGATTACTATGTGGCTCTGTTGTGATTGTCTTTACATGGCCATAATACTGTAAACATTGACTAATGAAAATTACGCTGTAACTACATTAAGAAGAGAAGGAGAAAAGACAAAGGTGCGTGGGTTTGAGGACAGGTTTAAGAGAGCTACACTGTAGAATTATTTGAGTCTTTCAACTACGTGTAGGTAAGACTTTGATAAAGCAGAAACAAGAACCACCATCAATACAATCACGGTAACAGGACACCTCCATTAATAAAACACACAGTTGTCTTGGGGTCAGCCTGCTGAGTATCAAACTGCATTCCAAGTTTCAAATAAAGGATTGACAAACCAACTTTCAGAAAACAGTTCTTTGCAATACTTAGGAGTGACTTTAGATAGCAGGCATTTCTCAAACCACCCTCCTCCTCCTCACCCCCTGCTCCCCAACTCCCCCATCCAATGCCTGACAAAATCCCAAAGTCTGCAATATTAGCTGTAGCCTTTGCTACTTACAACTAAACATAATCATTAAAATAAAGTGAAAGAGAATTCTAGATCCAGGGTTACAGCCTTTGATATCTGAACCCACACTAAACTTCAAAATTAGATTTGCCTTGCAAAGGAGCTGAAGAAATCACTTTCTCCACTCTTAGCCCATCTATCTTTTTTTAGCCTATCTGATGCAGCCTACCTGTCCTTTTTAGTAATGCTTGATACATGGGTAGCGCCTTGGTTTAAAAGCACCTCCTCCTACACCTCTCATCTGACCTCAACGCTATCCTGCTTCTCAGATGAGAACTCCACAGGCCACAGGGTTGAGGGATCTGACAGACATCAGGAGGGGACAGCGACAGGAACAAGCAAGAGTGTCTGAGAAGGGCTCCTGTAGGTACCAAAGCTTCTCCACCTCTGGCCTCAGCTGTGGAGGGAATTCGTGGGGATGGAGATGGGGATGGGGGTGGGGGGATGAACTTAGATGGGAAAGAAAGGTTACAACTTCAGTTTCGCTGTCCTCCAACTAAAATTTACCATTTTTTTTTTGCACGATCAATGTAGCAAAGACCCACAGTAAGGAAATACCTGTGACTATCAACAGAAATTAGACATCTCCACTTCACATCGCGGTTGCCGCAGATCTCTTGAAATACCATTTGTGCAGACCACAACGTCAACACTACAGTAGGAGTTACCGCTGCCGCTGGCCCCTGCGGTTTCTGCCCTTCATCAAGAAGCCAGTCTAGGACCCCCTCACAAGTGTGTTCTAATCCTTTAGGCCCTGTGTCTTTTAAATCACGTTTTCCGGGAAGGAGTACAAACTCTTCAGACTACCAAGCCCGCCATTTAAATTGGGAACTTCAGAGGCCGGAGCCCTGGAGCCGGAGACCCTCCCCGACAGCACAAGGTCGCCCGCAGCCCGCGCGCCCCCACCCCCTCGACCTCTTGGAGGTGGGGATCCCCTCAGGGTTACCTGGGGGCCCCGTTAGGAACACGTGCCGGGCCATACTGGTGGGCGGGGGTAGGGGTTGCGGTCAGGGGAGCAGTCCAGGTTGGGGTCGCAATTCAGGTCAGGTCCGGACCAGGGTCGCGACTCAGGACCCGCCCACCGCGTGTCGCAGGCCCCGCCCCCAAGCGGTGCTTTGACCGGAAGCACCGCCCTCAAGACCACGCATGCGCCTTCTCCCGAGTCCCCGGTCCGCGCCTGCGCATTCAGCCCTCGGCATTGGCGCCTGTGCCGCGGCAGTTCCTATAGGCGGAGCGGGTTGTACGGTCTCTTAAGTTTCATTCTGGGTTCAGGGCTTTTGTGGGGTATTTGCAGAGATAAGTGCGTGAGAACGTCAGTTATTAAACTATTGCTGCTTCAAGTCAGCGCCATCACCCAAGTTCTGCCCCTTGACTCCGGACCTAGGAGCTGAAATTGCCCAAGGCTGCCGGGACAGCCCTTTTGTAGAAGGTTTGTGACCTGGAAGCATTCCTCAAAGGGGGATGCCATGTTAATGACTCCAACTTTGTTCTCAAACATTCCTGCAGAATAGAATCAGCTGGGGAGTTTTAAACTTGCTCTGATGCCTGGGTTTCACCTGCAGTAATAGGGAGTGTCAGAAGACAAAATTACAAGTTTAGTTTAAAGATCTAATTGGCTTATATTTAGGATCTAGAATCGAGAAATAGATCATTTCATAAAGCAAATAGAGTGTTCCAATGAGTTGTGCAGAGGAGGTTGGCTTTATGGGCAAAAAAAGGCTGAAGAACAAAACAAAGAGTGGGTATTTCAAAGTTACTTTCCTTATAGGGTTAAAACAGATTGGACTTCGTTATTGTACTGACTCAGGTTAACTACAATCTCCTGTTTTTTGGGAAAACGGGCCTGTTTCAAAGTTCAGTTTGGTTACATGGCACTTGGCACAAGTGACTCCATTCTGGTTTGGTCTAGTCTGCTAGGACCTAGTGCAGGAGGTTAGTCCAAAACAATGGCCTCCCATAAATCTTGTTTAACATGAGTAATTGGTCTTGAGCGAGTCTTGAGCACCTGTATTCTTTTTTCTTCTTTCTAAACTCCAGGAAGTTCCTGAAGTGCGCTAGGGTTGAGAACCACTGGTGTAGGCAGGCTTCCCGTCCTCAGCCATGCATAGGACGCCCAGTTTTCCCTCTTTACTTTCACACCAAAGTGTATAAAGATCTCCTCTTGCAAAGAATTAAATAGCTTCTCCGTCTCACTTTACCACTGCAAGTGTTCCGGCCAACGAATGACGTGGCAGTGGCCTTGGGCCACATTTACCTGTAAACTCTTTCAGTCTAACATGTGTACAGCTTAATTTGTAGTCAGTCGTTCCCCATCCTGGCTGAGAAAGCAGTTCAGTGAGTGCTCAACTTAATTGGTTTCTGCCCACACATGGACCTCTTGGTTTCCCTTTAGCCTGAGACATATGCCAGTCCAATGATTATCTAAAAAAACAAAGTTGGATTTGTAAAATATAGCTGTCATCACCATCATTTCTGCAACATTTGTAATGCTCTATTATTATAACAGTATACTATTTATTATCCCAACTGTTAATGTAGGGCCTTCCACCTTGATTTATTTTGCAGTCCATATATGTTGAATACAGTGAAAAGTTGATATAGTAAAGTAAATTCATAGGAGGAGCTTCCAAAAAAAAGGAAAAAAGTATATGTATCTCTTGTATCAAAAGTACTCGTTTTAAATGTTAATCAGATAGCATTTTCCATCACTGAAAAGCAGTTTGGATTTGCAAGGCTCACCGGAAGTTGGGTTCTTTTGTTTTGTTGCTGTGCCTGGAATTCTGGCATCAGTTTAAGTAGCTCAAAGATACATGGAATTCAGATATGGTGAATCAACGTCTCACAAAACAGAAAAAAAGACTCCATAGTTGAATGTACTTTATCCATGGAAAATGAATTATTTGGATGGTAGTTCCACGGATATCTTCTTGTTAGAAAATTCATTGATTTGATGCTTAATTTCTACAGTTTCCTGTATGTGTTATTAGGTAACAATAACAAAAAATTAAATAGCTTATATCTCTTAGAGATTAACAACAAAAGAAGATGGCATAAATTGAAACAAATTTTAAAATAAATGGGATCTTAAAGTACTGTACCATACTGAATCCAACTTTTGCTTCCTATCTAATCAACATCCAATGGACGGATGTTTGTGTCCCCCCAAAATTCATATTGTTGAAATCCTAACCCACAAGGTGAAGGTATTAAAGTGTGGGGCCTTAAAGAAGCAATTAGGTAATCAGGTCACTAGAGTGGAGTCCTCATGAATGTGATTAGTACCCTTAGAAAAAGGCGGGAGAAAACTTGCTTTCTATCTCTCTGCTCTCTGCCATGTGAAGATACGAGGAGAAGACTGCTCTCTGTCAACCAAGATGAGGGCCTTCCCCAAGAACCCAGTCGTGTTGGCACCCTGATCTTAAACTTCAGCCTCCAGAGTTGTAAGAAATAAATGTTTTTTTGTTTAAGCCACTCATCTGTGGTACTCTATTATAGTAGCCTGAGCTAACACACAAGGTAGAATTAATTACCTAAGGAACAGGTGATTCCAAAGATTTCTTCTGCAACACCTGGGTGCAGCCTCACTTATGACAGGATGCAGTACAGTTCTTTATTAAAACAGTTTGTAGGTACAACTCTACAGTCTCTACAATTATAAAATACCCTAAAGTCCAAAAAACACTGTTTATTTTGTTTTCATATCTACCCTTTTCCCAGAACTGTCCTAATTTTTAAACTGCAAATTCTGTGTCTTAGAAAGCCCCTCAATCCCGAGCAAACCAGGATGAATGGTCATCAAACTGTTAAAGGAACATTTGGGAAGTAAAGCAGAAGGTTTCATGTGGTTAAACAAGATAATTCCTTCTTACAAACAAGTCAAAGGCTAATAATACTTTATTGTAAGCTGGTTGTCTTGTCAGCGGTGGTTATAGAATGACTGTTTAATGCAGTCTGTACCTAAACTCTGAGCCATTCATACCCTGAGTTCTAATCTCTGTGCAGAACAATGTTCTATCCTGCCAGTAACCCAGTAGGACAGAAGCAGAGATGACTCTACACCCTCACCCCACCCCTTCCTACACCGCATGCCTGGATGTCCCCCACGCCCAGCTGCTACTGGCATCCTGTGGCATCTTCCTGGCTGGACACAGAACAAGAGTTCTGGCATATTTAGGGTACAGTTTCCTAAGTACAGGAAAACTGAAAACAGAACAAAGAAAAAGTATGGATGTGAAAATAACCAAGTGGGAAGAGAGACCATTGTGTTGTTTGGCCAGCCCACTGTTCATTTCACTGTATGGAAATAGCAGCTAAATTCTCCTTTTAGGAACCCCCTTTCTCCCAGGCTCTGTGATTGATAGGAGTGAACCTCCCTCCCTTTCTCATTATCCAAGGGGAATACATGACCCAAGCCTGGTCAACGAGATCATTCTATCTTCCCAGCCTCAGTGATTGACTCTGAGGAAGCATGTGACCCGGGCAACACATCTACCCCTAGCCAGTGGGGATCGAGGACAGCCACCAGCCACCATGACTGAAGCAGAGGGACAAGGGGAAGTGAGAGGGGGTGTGAGAGGCCTCCCCCGCATTCTCCCCAGTCACTCCTTGCTCATCCTCCAGGATGGGCTCAACTGTTACTGCTCCCCAAGGCTTTTGTGATTCTCCAGGCCCAGCCTCTGCTCCCTTGGCCTTCCCTTACAGCACCCCCTGATTGCTGGCATCTGCCTCTTCTCCTGCCACCCAGTTATGAACTCCTCCAAAGGTAAAAATCTAGGCTGGGTGCGGTGGCTTACACCTGTAATCCCAACACTTTCGGAGGCCAAGGTGGGCAGATCACTTGAGGTCAGGAGTTCATGACTGGCCTAGCCAACATGGTGAAACACCGTCTCTGCTAAAAATAGAAAAATTAGCTGGGTGTGGTGGCCCGGCACCTGTAATCCCAGCTACTCGGGAGGCTGAGGCAGGAGAATCGTTTGAACCCAGGAGGCAGAGGTTGCAGTGAGCCACTGCACTACAGCCTGGGCAACAGAGTGAGACTCCACCTCAAAAAAAAAAAAAAAGAATCTAAAAAATCTTGTGCTATTCATCTCTTTATACCCAGAATATAGCACGGTACTTACAACACATTCATCCATCACTGTGTACCAGGAAATGTACGTCCTGGAGATACAGCAGCAAAGAAGACAGTCTCTGTGCTGCTATAGCTTATATTCTGGTGGGAGACACAGACAGACAAGTACATAAATAAAATGCCACAGAGTAGTAAGGCCATGGAGGAAAAAATAAAAGGATGGGAAATGAAAAGGGAAGTGGATGTGCTACTCCATAGAAGGTGGTCAGGGAAGATATTACTGAGAATACAGCATCTGAGCAGAGAGTTGAAGGAAGCAAGCCCTGCCGGTGTCTGGGGGATGGCGGTCTAGAGAGAGGCATTGGCATGTGCAGAGGTCGTGACGTGGGAACACATGGCCTGAGAAGGAACCAAGCAAACCAGTGTGGCCGGAGCAGAGTAGGAGAGAGAGATGCACAGGAGGTGAGGTCAGAGGGGCTGCAGGTGGTTCAGGCCTTATAGGCCATGGTGAGGACTCTAGCTTTTACTGTAACAGCTGGAAAGCCATTGGAGGGTTTTGACCAGAAGAATGGCATTATGTAAATTCTTTTAAAAGGATCATCAGTCGTGTGTGTAGGAAATTGGCTACAGAAAGGCAATGGTAGAAGCAGGAAGACCAATCTGAATGCTGCTGTAATAATCCAGCTGCTACAGAAATAACGTTTGTGCATTTACTGGCACATGCTTATCATAGGTGCTCAACTGATATTTTCTTAAGCACATGAGTGAATAAGTGAATTATATCCCCATAGACAGCATGGGACTGTCAGGGAAGACAAAGAGCAGGGGCAGAGCAGCAGGAAAGTCCTACAGGCTTTCCCAGCTTTAAAGGACAGGTGGTACATTGAGGTAACCATCCGATAATCATCCTTGGGTGATGTCCCCATGAGATAGGCATAAGACTTTGCTTGACCAAGCAAGTTGGGCAGGTCACTCACCTACTAGGTGTTCCCCTTCGAATAAGAACAACGGAGCCAGGCGCAGTGGCTCACACCTGTAATCCCAGTGCTTTGGGAGGCCGAGGCAGGTGGATCACGAGGTCAAGAGATTGAGACCATCCTGGCCAACATGGTGAAACCCAGTCTCTACTAAAAATTCAAAAAGTAGCCAGGCATTGTGTCGCGTGCTTGTAATCCCAGCTACTCAGGAGGCTGAGGCAGGAGAATTGCTTGAACCCAGGAGGCAGCAGAGGTTGCAGTGAGCCAAGATGGCGCCACTGTACTGCAGCCTGGTGTTAGGGCGAGACTCTGTCTAAAATAATAATAATAATAAAAGAACAACTGTGTGTTAGTTAGTGCAACATACTAAATATTGGAACAGCCAAGCCCAAGATCACACCACTGTACTCCAGCCTGGTGTTAGAATGAGACTCCGTTAAAAAAAAAAACAAAAACAACAACAAAAAAAACTGTGTATTAGTTGGTGCAACATACTAAATATTGGAACAGCGGAGCCCCACTGGGAAGTCTCTGGTCACAATTCTGTGGTGCCACATCAAGCACACAGACATTGTCCTGTCAACCTCTCTTTACAAAGGTCACCTGAAGTTATAGAGCTAGACTAGGGAAGAGAAGACCAGCTGAAAGAATTGCTCTAAGGCATCCCCAGGGGTGCTGATGGGAGAAGCAGCAGTCTTACCTGTTTTGGGCAAACTTCTAGAATGGCATTCCAAATTTCTTGCCTTTCAATCTGTACATGCCATGCATAATTCCCAAGACTGTGAATATAATAGAAGATTCCTACTCTTGTGATTAGGTTACGTTATATGACCTTAACTTGACTTTAAGATAGAGAGATCATCCAGATAGGCCTGACCTTATCATAAAGTCTGGGCATTTTCTCTGGCTGGTGCCGGCACAAGAAATCAGAGACTTGAATCTGAAGATTCAACACGTTTTTGCAGACTTAAAGGAGAGAGAGCTATGTGGCAAGGGTGCAGATGGACCTTTGGGCTGAGAGCCAGCTGATGTCAGCAAGGAAATGAGGACATCAGTCCGTCAACCACAGAGACCTGAATTCAGCAGAGAATGAGGGCGAGCTTGAATCTGAATTTTCCCTAGATCCCTCAGATGAGAACTCAGCCATTCTAAACAGAAAACCCTGTCACACCATATCTGGGCTTCTGACCTTCAGAACTGTGACCTGATAAAGAGATGGAGTTTTAAGTTGTTACGTTAGTAGTAACTTGTGTTAACAAAAGACCATGAGATCTTCAGAGGAAAAAGTGAGAGTTTCATTTTCCATTAAAAAAAAATAAAAAACACTCTGAAGGTTGGGGGAAGCACAGCCTTTAATTCAAGTGAAAGTATGCCCTTCCACAAACAAAGGAAGGGTCCGACTTCATCAGAAAAGTTTCCTGCCTCGGTTCTCAATCAAGTCTGTTTATGCAAATGAAGGATTCAGATTTGCTCAGTTCCAACTGTTGGAAATAGTTGAGGCCTGATTGGGTGGTTTTCAAGCCTGAAACCAGAAGTCTCTGACAGATGTTTCTTCTAAACGTTAGGGTTCAGTGACTGGGGGGAGGGGGCATTTGGGCCACAGTTTATCTTGCTTTGATTACAGGAACCGTTCTGGCTCAGGGGTGGAAAGTGGGATGTTTTTCAAGAGCTGCCTTTCCGAGAACACAGGAGTGTGTGACCTCTCTTCTCTCACCCTGCTATGGCCATTTGGTTCTGTTTTACAAATGTGGGCGTCTCTATCAGCCACAGGAAGCCCACGTCATCTGGAGAGCTTGGGGTCTTATTTACAGCTTTATTTCACATTGGTGATGCAACAATAAGAATCTAATATCCCACCTACACAACTGCACCCCCACTGGAGACCTTTCCAAGCCAAGCACAGCCGCAGGCTCTGGCACGTGATGACTATCAAAGAATTTGTGAACATGTTTTAAAACTACTACACCTTAAAATAGACCTCCCACGAAGGAAGCACTTTATGTATTTTAACCTGCTGAATTCTTATAAACCTTGCAGGGGAAATTCCCCCTAAACTCCTCTCTATAAATAAATAAGTGAAGCCTTGGAAAAACTGAGTATCCTGCCCAAAAAGTCAGAGAAGTATTAGGTGCTAAGGGTGAGACGTGAACTCACGCTTAGCCTCTAATAGTAGATGCTAACTCACTTTTAGCATCTACTATAAGATGTGGTGCCTTCCAAGGTAACAGGAGTAATAATTGTGCGGATGTGTGTGTGCGCATGCAAGCACATGCATGGAGGTTTACAGGTTTGGGAAATATTTTTATACATCCCACTTTATTTGACCAGTTGCTTCACACTCACACATACTGTGTTGTGGTACAGGGATGGGGAAAATGGAGTTTTGTGGAAGCTTTGGCTCATAGTAAAGACCAGGAAGATAAGTGAAAATAAAAGACACTTTTCTGACTATGGTCAGTGTTCCTTGCCCTGGGCCACACTCTGAGCGCACTCCTTTGGCTGTGTTGTGTGTACTTTTTAAAAAGCAGGCCCATTATCAGAGCAGATGCAGAAAACCCTTGCAGATGACAGTCGATCAGCGTCACTGCAAGTGTCCACAAGAATGGTGAACCAGCCAAAATGAAGGACATTCTCGTTAACCTCATAACAAATAATGGCAGGAAACAAAGATAAGGGTGAGCTGTGAAGGACAAGCCGAGAAGTACAGGAGAAAAGGAGGCCTGTTGGCACAGCTTCTGTTTGGCTTTATAGTCATGAGGAATCCTGACACTGTGCAGCTACGTTTTGTTCAGGTTCATTTTCATTCGTTCCACTTGGATCCCATCAGTGGAGAATCTATTGTTTGCAAAATAACATGGCACTTGTTCTGGTTTGAATCTGCCTCTGATGAGTAGAGATAAAAAAAAAATCACTGCGTCTAATGAATATTCAACAGCTGATCTAAAGAGAGCTGGATATTGAATATACCTATCTCCTTTCCTCCCTCTCTCCTTTTCTCCCTGCCTCCTTCCCTCTCTTCTTTCTTTCCATCCTTTTATTCCTTCCTTTCTCCTTCCTTCCTCCCTCCTTCCCTCCTTCCCTCCCTCCCTTCCTTCCTTCCTTCCTTCCTCCCTCCCTCCCTCCCTCCCTTCCTTCCTTCTCCTATTTTGCTCTGGATACTGTGGTAAATAGTAGAGACCAAAGCTTCTGTAATGAGAAGACTAAGACAGTAAAAACAAACAAAACAACACTGCCTTTTATACCTGAGGCCCATTTTTGAAATAAAAATGTAAATGTCCAAGAGCTGCCATTTTTTTTATTATTCCAAAAGAGAATATCTTTAGTTGAGCTCCACGGTAAAGAGTTATTTTCCCACCCTTTTAGATTACCTACCTTATTGAATAAGTGTGTAGCAAGAGAGTTGCTGTTGCATTTTAACCACCCACCTTTTAATACTTCCAAGTATTTAACAAATGATAATAGTCAACATTCACATTGAGATTACTAAGTGCCAGGCTCTGTTCTAAAAGCATTGTAACTTCTATTGACTTTTTTAATCATCACAACACTTCTTCATTTTATATATGGAGAGACCAGGGTACAGAGAGATTAAAGGACTTGTCCATGTATCCATTCACAGCGATGCAGGCTGTATCCATTCACTCATCCATCCATCCATGCACAAGCATTTACATACACCGTCACAAAGCATTGCTTCGCAACAGGGATACATTCTGAAAAATGTGTCCTTTGGTGATTTTGTTGCTGTGCAAACATGGTAGAGTCTATTTGTACAAACCTAGGTGTTATAGCCTATTACACCTATGGATGTAATAGACTATAGGGTATAGCCTATTGCTAGGCCACAGGGTACAGGATATAGGCTATGCCTATTGCTCCTGGGCTACAAACTTGCACAGCATGTTACTGTACTGAATACTATGGGCAATTATAGCACAATGTTAAGTATTTGTATATCTAAATATATTTAAATACAAAAAGATATGCCAAAAACACAGTATGGTGATCTTTTTTAAAAAAAAACTAGAGACAGGGTCTCACCATGCTGCCTAGGCTGGTCTTGAACTCCTGGGCTCAAGAGATCCTCCCATCTCAGCCTCCCAAAGTGCTGGGGTTACAGGCATGAGCCACCATGCCCAATCACCCTTGTATATGTAGTCTGTCATTGGCCAAAATGCCATTATGCAGTACATGACTATATGCGTGTGTGTGTGTGTATGTGTTTGACATTTGCTTCAAACCCAGGAATTTGAGCACCAGAATCTTTTCTCTCATCCTCTACACTGTACTTCTGTTCATGGTTGCAGCTTTTTAACTTTTGTCCAGAAAACTAATTGAGGGCAATATCACAAAACAAGAAGGGTCACACAAGGACTGCAGACATGGTCCACTGGTTGCTCTTCCTTCTTCTAGGAGAACGAATTATATCATGGTGTGATAAGAGTTCTAAAATAGTTCTTATAATAGCTATGAGAACAGAAATAATGGAGGACCCTCTCTGCCTGATTTTAATCTCATTCTCCCCAGGACTTTCTAGAATAATGATTACTATCACATATGTCCTCATACGCAAGCCAACTTCAAGAATACTGGGTCAATCTGTAATCGAGGGGGCTAAGCAGGCTCACCATCTCACCCCCAAGTCACTTTGGGTGTGAGGCTGCAGGTCCTTGGAGGGAGCCTGTCATTGTCCTTGCGCTGAAGCCGAATCTGCTACATCATGAAGTATCCGTCTTCAGATGTAGGTGTAAACTCAATGGTATTTATTCAAGGTGCATTGTCTTGCCCTGTAAATCCTCTGCAGGGGAAACTAATTGCTTTTTAACTTGGTCAGACTGCATCATCACCAACATTGTTTGCAGAGTGCTGTGAGGGGAAAGTGGGCTGTGGTTTTAATTAGCTGTGTGCATCCCCACAGCAACATTGGCACCCCACACAGCCTCACTTGCCCTCTCGTATATTCCTGGTTAAGGGAATGGTTTCAGCTCCATCTGCCCAACAAGTGGATAAAGGCTTTGTGACTGAAAATTAAGGGAGAACTTTAGGAATCATTTCTTTTTCCTTTTATTGTATATCATCAGTCTTCCCAGAGGGGGCAATGTGCACTGACTCTTCTCCTGGGTTGAATTTCATCATCCCCTCTTAACACCATGTGTGGGCTCAAAACCTGTGGTGTGGATATGTGAAACATTGATTTGCATCTAACTAATAAATAACTTGTGGCATTTTAGGGCAGGTTCACTGCTAGTGAAACAGGGATTCTAGATTTTTCATTTCTATCACCCCAGTGTGGACAGATAGATAGAAATCAAGTGTCTGTCACTTATTTAATGACCTGTCCCATCGTGAGATCCCAACCTCCTGACCCCTCACCTTATTTCATAAGCAGAGTCCAAGCTGAGGCAAGAGTAGCATAAAGCTTTGCTGGGAAAAGAAGATAACTGGTGCCTCACCCTGTTCACTGCCCCACGAACCCTTACATTTGAAGATCTAAGGATAGTTGGCTGCTGGGTGTCGTGCTTGGAAGCAGTCTAGCAAGGTGCTAAGAATGTCTCCATACAACCTTAGTGCACGAGAATAGAGGTGATGGCATTGTTGTATGGGAGCAATAGGCCAATCTTTGACTTTCCTAGAGCTCCTGCTCCA
Organism: Homo sapiens; assembly: GCF_000001405.40. Taxonomy (NCBI): domain Eukaryota; kingdom Metazoa; phylum Chordata; class Mammalia; order Primates; family Hominidae; genus Homo; species Homo sapiens. Next base: position 232,939,996 of record NC_000001.11, on the reverse strand, counting down.
TATGGGGGAGATGCAAACTATTCTCATATGCCCAAGGGGACCACACTCCTCTCTGTCACAGGGCCTTTGCACATGCTGTTTCTGCCACTTTAAAGGCTCTCTCCCATATCATCTTCCCCTAGCTAACATGTATTTATCATTCCTGACCCCCTAGAACACACCAAGTGTTTCATAGTGAACAGGTCTGTGCAAACCTACCCCTAAAGGCCAAGGGAGCTGAGAAGCCAAAGAAAGAGGCTGACAAATCCAGTTTCCCATCAAGAAGCATTTACTAGGGACTTAGGAACAGAAACCTTGTCTTAGGTGGCTGCAAGATGTGATGGTGGATCCCTGCATGTTACTGCCAGACCCAGGGCTTGTATAGCATAAGGAATTTGCCTAAGGACAGGATTTATGGTAAATATGTGTTTACAGTAACATCAAGGTTGTTTTGACCTAAGAGCAGCATTCACAGTAAGTAGGTGGAAGTAGAAACCTTTTTTTTTTTTTTTTTTTGAGACGGAGTTTCGCTCTGTCGCCCAGGCTGGAGTGCAGTGGCGTGATCTCGGCTCACTGCAAGCTCTGCCTCCCGGGTTCACACCATTCTCCTGCCTCAGCCTCCCGAGTAGCTGGGACTACAGGCACCCGCCACCACGCCCGGCTAATTTTTTGTATTTTTAGTAGAGACGGGGTTTCACCGTGTTAGCCGGGATGGTCTCGATCTCCTGACCTTGTGATCCGCCCGCTTCCGCCTCCCAAAGTGCTGGGATTACAGGCTTGAGCCACCGCGCCCGGCAGGAAGTAGAAATCTTAGAGGTATTCCTGGAATGAGTGTTAATCAGAAGTCAACATGGCGGATGGATGAACATCCAAGATGGAGCTGCTTTTGCCTCCACACCAAGCGTCCTGTAGCCTCCTGAACTTCTAGTTCATTTCACTTATGATTGTAATTGAATGATGAGTTGTTTAAATTTATTTAATGACTTCCACTTCTGCTAAAATGAAAAAACCTTCATGAGAGAGGAACTAAATGAGGTTTATTCACTACTCAATTCCCAGTATCTAGATGTTCAATTAATGCTTGCTAATTAAATGAATTTCTAAACTCCGTAGTTCATTTTTCAGTGGAACATTTTTGAACTCCTCCTTTGTGTTAAAGGTCTTTGGGGGAAAAAATTACAAACGTATAGTAGCAGTCTACTGCACACACTAGCACTCTGAACAGATAGAATTGCAGTGTCAACAATCATACCGATCACCTCTAGTAAGTACAGAGTGCTTATTAGGCATTTTTGGGTAATAAAAGACGTATACAACAGGGTCTTTGCCCTAAAAATACTTATAATCTAATTTTAAAAACACATCAATGCACATAACACAATTAGTTAATGATACAAGTAAAATCTGTATAAAAATCAACACTATGGATACCTCACACCCACTAGGGTGGCTACTATCAAAACAAACAAACAAAACCCAGAAAATAACAAGTGTTGATGAGGATACGGAGCAATTAGGACCCTTGTGCACTGAGTTAGATCTGCTTAAGGTTCATACATTGCAAGTTGGTGATGCATTTTGTATCCCGTTAATATAAAAGACCTCCTTCATCTGATCTTTTTTCCTTAGTTTCTTTGTTAAAGAAACCAGTGGTTTGTCCTGTACGGTTTTCACAGCAGATACGAACACACAGTTTTTGGTGTTTATATCACCACGGCATTGTTTAGCTTCTCCCTCTGTTCCTGTATTCCTTCTAAATTGACCCAGTGACCTGCTGGTGAGCCTAAGTGCTTGTTGCCTCTCCCTGATGTGTCGAGATACAAGTGAGGCTTGTAGAGTTTCATCATCCTCAAGTAGCAGCTTCTCCTTCTCTTATCATCATTATCAAAAAACTGAAAGTTTATCAGGCTCACTTCCTACATGCCACACACTGTGCTGAGCATGTACACATATTGTCTCATTCAACATTTCACAATAGTCTTATGAAATATCATAGTACAAATTTAACATTCATTTTAGCCGCCAAGCATCTAAACTCTTTCCTATGTTTGGGGAATTGCCCACCTTATGAATAGGAGACAGAGTTTGCCTCTTTCTGTGCCAGATAGCACATGTCCAGCCAGAGCAGAGAGACAAAGGGAGCCAAGTTCCTTGTAATTGTTTGAGCCACCGAATTACTCTCACCCAAAGCCAGCCCTGCCTCGGGGCATATGAAATTATAAAGTCTCAGTATCGTTAGAGTCCTTGGCAATCAGAAAAAAAGTCTAACTGATAGGATGGAAAGATGCTTATGAAATAATGTGGAGTACACGAAACAGCATAGGATATTACATGTGCAATGTAATTACAAGTGTATAAAAATAAAATTTAAAACAGCTGCATAAAATAATCAGAAAAAAGTCATCAGAAAGAGTAATGGTCATGTGGGTGAATTGTGGGAAAATGAGTTAAATTTCATCACAATACTTTTCTGTATGTAGTGTCTTCCAAATTATAAATAACATTTTTGAAAATATGCACATATACACCCCCACTTCTACGCACACACACACAAACACATTATGTTGTGGGATTCAGGCATGGCCAGGAATAAGGACACTCATGCCCTACACATGCATTGTATCGGGTGAAGGAAGGACATCTTCTGGCCTGTTCTAATGCATAACTTGATTTGATTTCATTTCCCTATGTGACTACCGAGTGCTTTGCTGAAATTCAAATGTATCGAGGCATCTTTAGATCCATTACCACTGCGGATCAGTAATTGCCCTGAAAATGGCTGTCACTAAAGAAAAGGCATAGCCATAACCCTTTATGTGGGCTCTGTGCACTGAATTGGGAAAGCAGCTGAAAGTCTGCGTGTGGCACAGGAGATGCTGGGTGAGCTGAGAGGAGACCTTCTCTCATGCACAGATGTGCATGCACGGACTGCACCACATCTGCAGCTCTGCTTAAGATGAGTCGAGGGGAGGAAAAGCTTCACTGCAAATACAGTTGACTGAAGTTCTGAAGAAAGCAAGGGAGCAAATCATGCAGTAAGCTGAGGGAACAGTATTCCCAACAGAAGGAATAGCAAATGCAAGGTCTTTGAGGTATATTTAAGGAATGGGAAGGAAGCTAGTATAGCTGGATCAGAGTGAGCTAAAGGAAGGGTAGTAGAAGAGGATTATAAAATATTGTGTAATTTTTTTAAAATTACCTTTAACAGTTTAAAATTTATTTTATTTTATTTATTTATTTATTTATTTTTAGATGGAGTCTTGCTCTGTTGCCCAGGCTGTAGTGCCATGGCGCCATCTCAGCTTACTGCAACCTCTGCCTCCCGTGTTCAAGCAATTCTCCTGCCTCAGCCTCCTGAATAGCTGGGATAATAGGTGCCCACCTCCATGCCTGGATGATTTTTGTATTTTTAATAGAGATGGGGTTTCACCATGTTGGCCAGGCTCCTCTTGAACTCCTGACCTCAAGTGATCCACCCACCTCACCTCCCAAAGTGCTGGTATTACAGGCGTGAGCCACCACCCTCGGCCCCAAATTAAAATTTAAAACAGAAATGGGATCCCATATAACTATGCTTTTCACAAAATGATTGCAACAATTATTCAAAATTTAATTTATAGCTTACTGAGTGCATTAGTCAGGGTTCTCCTGAGAAGCAGAACTGATAGGATGGGGAGAGAGAGAGAGAGAGATTTGCTTTAAGAAATTGGCCCACACAAAATCTGCAGAGTAGGCCGTTAGGCTAGATAATTTCTTCTTGAACGAGGAGGTAAGTCTTCATTCTATTCAGGCTTTCAACTGATTGAATGAAGCCTACCCGCATTATGAAGGGCAATCTGTTTTACTCAAAGTCCACCAATTTAAATGTGAATCTCATCCAAAAACACCCACACCGAAACTTTCAGGAAAACGTTTGGCTAAATATCTGAGCACCTTGGCCCAGCCAAGTTGACACATACAATTAACCATCACCATGAGTGATGTGATCTGGTAATGATTTCAAGTAGCTTGTTCTGAGTTAAAGTTGTATGATATCTGTCTTCATCTTCAGTTCCTGTCATTGTGTGATTGCTGTGATTGTGTGTTGGGAGAGCATTTGAGGTCAGAGCCAGATGGCCTTCCTACTCTCTCGTGTAAATGGCCCTTCACTCATTCACACATCCATGGACAGACACTCTCACTCACTCTCGCTGAGGGGCCTGCCCAGGCGAAGGAGCTTAGCCAATGCTCTGCCTCCGTGGCGTTGAAAAACCTCTCACTGCCACACGGGTTACTTCTCTGGCTCCTTCAAGTCCATTTCCTCTCTTAAGAAATTCTCTCTATTTAAAGATGACTCCACTAATAGTCTTGCCTTCTGTGCCAGATATACTTTGATCAGAGAAACTGAGTTTCTGGGTGAGGGAGTCAGGCATTTATCATAAGGTTCATCCTTACACAGTTGTGGGAGCTGGTGGGGCCAGCTTGCCTCTTGTGTCCAGTGTGGAGCCTGCTGTCCCTAAAGGTCCATCAAGCTGCAGTTGGGAAGGGAAACTGTTAGAGACAATGAGGACAAGGACAGACTGGAGCCTGTTTCACACCATTTCCTGCCTCGGTGATGTGGGTGGCCTTTGGGAGATTCTGGCACCTTTGCCTCAAAGCTACACACATGGGCCCAGGGCCTGGAGGAGCTGAAGGAGGAGCCAAGAGTCCAGGTGTCCCCACAGCAACAAGAGAGCTGGTTGGTTGATCAGTAAAGACATGCAGAGCTGCCCCAGGCCCCTGGGATTGAACTGGCTCTCCAAGGGCGAAACACACAGCTGCTCCTCTACTGCTGCCTTTAAGTCTTACACAAGATGCTTCCTGTGGCCGAAGCTAACCCAGAAGTACAGTGGAGGGAATTCTGGAAAATGTAACTTCACCTTCATTAGGTTGAGACAGTCCAAAGTCATCACAGCCTTCCCAATGTCTAGGCGGCTTCCGCATACACTGCACGTAACCAAACTGGAGCTCCAAGTAAAGATGATGGTGAGATCATTCTTCTGCCCAGAATGATGCAGCAATTCCTTGTACAAGGGAAACAAACTTGCTAACCCTCCTCCCCAAAAAGGATAAAAAGTCCTTTTATCTATCTCTACTAAAAACACAAAAATTAGCTGGGTGTGGCGGCAGGCGCCTGTAATCTCAGCTACTCGGGAGGCTGAGGCAGGAGAATCACTTGAACCCAGGAGGTGGAGATTGCAGTGAGCCGAGATTGCGCCACTGCACTCCAGCCTGGCAACAGACCAAAACTCCATCTCACAAAAAAAAAAAAAAAAAAAAAAAAAAAAACCCACACAGATTGGGTGCAGTGGCTCACGCCTGTAATCACAGCACTTTGGGAGGCCGAGGTGGGCAGATCACGAGGTCAAGAGATCGAGACCATCCTGGCCATCTCTGCTAAAAATACAAAAATTTGGTGAAACCCCATCTCTACTAAAAATACAAAAATTAGCGGAGTGTGGTGGTGCACGCCTGTAATCCCAGCTACTCAGGAGGCTGAGGCAGGAGAATTACTTGAACCTGGGAGGCAGAGGTTGCAGTGAGCCAAGATCGTGCCATTGCACTCCAGCCTGGTGACAGAGTGAGACTCTGGGACTACAGAGTTCACTTAGTTCAAGTAGCTGAGACTACAGGAGTCTGCCACCATGCCCGGCTAATTTTTTATTTTTAGTAGAGAAGGGGTTTCACCATGTTGGGCAGGATGATCTCGATCTCCTGACCTCGTGATCCACCCGCCTCAGCCTTCCAAAGTGCTGGGATTACAGGCATGAGCCACCGTGCCCGGCCCCTCTTAGCTTCCCTTTTAATAAAACCACTGATGTACCTTCTTATGGAAACATTTATCCCCTGGGAACAAAGTGTCCTGACCAGCAGAGACTAAATTCATAGAGACGGAAGAAAAAATATTTTACTAGGAATAAGAGTGAGAAAAGTCACTCCCATTTCCACCCTTGATTTCCAGCCCCAGGAATTCTGGCTATGGGAAAAATAACAATATGATGGTCACTGATTTAGAACATATATTATGTTCTAAATATATATGCCATCTATATATGCCACACTGTATGCCATCCTACTGAGTTTCCAAAAGGCATTTCATTGTTTTGTGAAGCCAAGGGCTTCAAACACATTAAGATGAGGGATTCTAGAGGCAGGAATCTATTTGCCTCATTTCATGTCCTGAAAAGTGAATCCTATAGTCAGGAGCTGTGCTGTGTAAAATAACAGAATGATGGTGAATAAACCTTTCTATAATTCCATGGATAGTGTTTTTGGTCCCATCTAAAACTGGCCATTTTTTAGAATATTTAATAAATGGGTTGGAGTAGCAAGTGCAGATGAGGTATGTGTTGTCTCTTTGTTAGTGATAAGAGAGGCCAGCAGGGTGTGGTGGCTCATGCCTGTAATCCCAGCACTTTGGGAGGCTGAGGCGGATGGATCACCTGAGGTCAAGAGTTCGAGACCAGCCTGACCAACATGCTGAAACCCCGACTCTACTAAAAATACAAAATTAGCTGGGTGTGGTGGTGCATGCCTGTAATCCCAGCTACTCAGGAGGCTGAGGCAGGAGAATTGCTTGAACCCAGGAGGCAGAGGTTGCGGTGAGCCAAGATTGCACCATTGCACTCCAGCCTGGGTGAAAGAGCGAAACTCCTCTAAAAAAAAAAAAAAAGGCCAGATGCAGCCACTTGTTTTTCTTGGAAGGGATTTCTTGACAGAGTGAAACAACTGTTCTCCTAGAAATTTATTCAGGGTGGTTGTTATACCCCCTGGATTTTTGTGGGATTCTTTTCCCATCTTTTGTGTCATATTGAGATATCTGGAGTAACTGCTGTCAAGGATTCTGAAGCTTCTGAGATTTCACCCTCCTTGTAAGATAACAAGTTACTTGTCACAGTTTCATGGAGGTCAGTAGAAGACATGAGACTAATGAATCAGAGACAAAGGACTTTATTCCTCATAGCAATAATGGTAACCAGAATATCAGCATTTCTTGCACCAGTTCCCCAAGCCCCACTTCCTACAGAGCAACACAAAAAGGATCATGTGACACATGTACACACATTGGATTCCATTACAGGAACAAAACCCTGAGCTTTAGGAACCTGAGTCTTTTATAATGGGCAGTAAGCATATCTGCCCTTTGCTCCAGAAGCAGGCATCATTATTATTATACTGTACAGTATGCATGCCTAACTTTTGCTTTGGAGGGAGACACTGTGTCTTTCTTCCAAGTCTAGTCACTATACAAACTTCCTTGAAAATGTAGTTTAGAACAAAGTCAGTCAGTTCCTCTGTTTGCAAGGCCTGTAGAAATATGAAAAAAAAAAGTTATTTCCCAACAGTTGTTGCTTTCTGTTCACTTTCTGTTCACCCGGGAAAAATCAGCATGATATTACCAATGTAATGGGCCAGCTTGTTGTCCTGTGGAATGGAAAGTTGATAAAGTTCCCTGAGGACTAAAATATGACACAGGACTAGAGAGTGGATATAGCTGTGAGATAGGATAGTGAAGGTATGTTTCTGACCATGCTAGTTGAAAGAAAATGGCTTTTATGGTCCTTGATAACAGGTGTAGAGAAAAAAGCACTTGTCAGATCAATGCCTGTATACACTTGCTAGGGAAGTATTGATTTGATATGGCAATAAAACTACATTTGGAATAATACCTGCACTTGAAGTCATAGTATAATGAGATTTGCAATAATCACTGTCGTTCTCACAGATTCACCTGTTTTCTGTATAGGTCAAATAGGGGAGTGGAATGGAACATGGTAGGAATCACTATCTTCCATCTTTCAAGTCCCTGATTAGGTGGCATGAATCTTAAAATTCCTCCAGAAATGTAGCTTTGCTGTTAGTTGACTACTTGCTAAGTAGAGGCAGCTTTAGTGGCTGTCTTTTGGTCTTTCCTACCATAGCATCTCCACTTCACAGGTCACGGAACCCATGTCAGGGTTTTGCCAGTTGCAGAGTATATGTATCCCAGTTTTGCAGTCTGAACTGGGGAAATCACCAAAGGATGGGTCTGACCAAGTCTATGATGAAATGGACTTACATAGAATTGTAATTGATCACCTGACCTTCACAAGCCCCTCTTCTTACGAGTAATGTTTTTGCTCCAGAAATTAATTTCCATTTAGAGCCCGTGTTCAGTATTCCCTGAAAAGTTTGATTATTTACCCTTCCTCAACACATAGTCACTCTTGTAAATGGCCCTAGGTTCTTTTGAAGGAGGCTAGGAGGGAGATTTAGTGTAAATTTCTGCCATAAAGCAGGACTTCCTCCAGAAGGCTTGACCTCTCTTTCATTCAAGGGGCTCTGTTCGGCCTGGGACTAGGGTAAGGTAAGAGAGGGACTCTTGCACACAACTTAAGGAGATGATTACTGTTGGCACCTGCCTGTGGGCACCTGCATGACCCTGGGAGTGGGCGCCTTCTGAAGTTTTGCACCCCAGATGCCTTCTTGCCTCACTCTAGTCCAGGCCCTGAATTGACTCGAGTCTGACAGTTAGACAAGAGGTTGCAACAGTCTATCATGGTGACCCAATTTAGACTTCTATTCCCCAGATGTAAAGCTTTCTTGCCTATACAGGTGAAGATTTCAGTAAGCTGCTCAACTACTTCAGTTTCAAGGACACCACGATCAACACCAAAGACACTACAGGTTAGACTACTCTGGTGGCTGCTTGGGCTCTGCTCCCCATCACCACCTGTCCTCGTCTGAGATTCAGAGCTTCAGCTTGATTCACTGATCCACCAGGATCCCATCATCCTCAGTGAATTCAGGGAATCCAGTTCCATCACAACAGTTCCAACTGCCATTCTCGCCTAAAGAACATTTCACCACCACCTCCTCTGTGTCTAACCATCAAGGGCCAACAAATAGTCATTTTAGCAAGTCCACTACCAGGACAGGCCAGGAAAGACAGACGCAGGGTCTACAAACCATTATATTTTGTGTAAGTGGAATGACTCATCTTTGTCACAGAGTTCCCACTTGTAGAACAAGTCAAGTTTACAGCTCAGCAGTGTACCCATCAGATATTTGACACAAGGAGCACCATCTCATTTACAATTGATGGCGGCTGTGTGTGGCTGGTCTGCCTGCTGCCTGCTACTGTCACTCTGCTTTGCAGAGGCTCCGCCTTTGCATGCAATCCATGCCTGGATGGGTTAGGGAACACCTTATGTGCCTATGATGACACCCTTTGTCCCAGGACTAGTTGGCAAGACAATAAATTAATACCAACCCATAGTTGGTTCAGAGCCAGGACTAGTCTTGGGTATACCTTGGGGAGCCCATTTGTGTAAATCTTCCTGCAAAAACTAAAGAAAACAAAAGTAGGAAGAAGGGACATAGGCAGACGTTGCACAGGGTTTAGAAATAAAGAGCTCCATGAGTTTATTTCAAATTACATTTCAAAACCACTTTTACACCAAGGAATATGGCAGAAATTTGCACTTTTGCTCTAATCTCACTTCTTTTTGGGTGAGGCAAACATTCTCAAGTTTCCTTTCCACATTATAAAGGCTAACTTAGTTCTCCTCTGTGCCAGAAGGTTTGAATTGTTCCAGTGGTCTCTGGGTTCAAGAGTATCTAGGCATCTGTGTAGGTTTATATGGTTATAAATTACTTTTAATCTACTCATGAATTTAAGCCTTGAGCCCTTTTTAGAAGACTGAAACACTTTACTAAATTACCTCATGGTCTCCTCCTGCAATTAAAAACAACAACTTATAATTAATGCTTTTCTTGCTTTATTTAAAACATGTTTTGTTAAATTGCAAACTTAGAACATGCACATTTTGCCTATCTACTAGGTTTTACAAATAAGCAGTAGTTTAATTATACAAACAAAAGACAATTTTAAGTTAGAAAGAAAATTAATCTTCCCTTTCTTCCTATCTCTTTGAGAGAGGCTATTTTCCTTCTTCCTGCTCCCCTTAATTCATTTCCTTTGAAGCTCTTTTTTCTCCGCCCAGTTGCTTTCATAATAACTCTACTCTTTGGGATTTCAGGAGAAGTTTTAAACAGATAGATAACTTTTACAATACCTGTTTCTCTTTAGCTTATTATGGTTTCTATTTTGGAACCAGATGCTTCTAATATTGCTTGGGAAAATGCGTTTATTATGCATCAGGCTGTATGCTTAACGCATTACAGGCATTATCTCAGCTGATCCACATAGCAACCCTACTGAGATAGCCACTTTTTAAAATAAAGGATACCTACCCCTCAATTCGTTTTGACAAATGCATATCAATACAGCATTTTTATCACCCAGGAATGTTTCCTTGTACCCCTTCTTAGACAATCCCTCGTCCACACACACCCCAAACAGCCCCTCTTCTGATTTTTACCAAAATAGTTTCATTTTGCCTATTCTGGAATGTCATCTGGTATATACATTTGTGTGTATGTTTGTTTGTTTCCATTTATAACATGTTTCATATTAATCTGTGTTGTTTTTGTGTGAGTTACACCCTGGAGAGCCCATCTAAATGCCAAAGGCTTCTACAAAATGGTGAAGTCTCTTATTTCTTAATGCCTCATTGAATTGATGGTTCAGAGATTGCTACAAAGGATTAGTCAGAAAATGAAGGGCAGACAGCATGGACCTGTTAAACTGACATAAGTTGGTCAGGCGCAGAAGCTGACACCTGTAGTCTCAGCACTTTGGGAGGCTAAGGTGGGTGGATCACTTGAGGTCAGGGGTTCGAGACCAGCCTGGCCAACATGGTGAAACCCTGTCTCTACTAAAAATACAAAAATTAGCCAGGCACGTGGAGTGCACCTGTAATCTCAGCTACTCAGGAAGCTGAGGCACAAGAATCGCTTGAACCTGGGAGGCGGAGGTTACAGTGAATCAAGATTGCACCACTGCACTCCAGCCTGGGCAACAGAGCGACATTCTGTCTCAATAATAATAATAATAATAATAATAATCTGACATAAGTCACTGAAAAGGGTGGCTTTTTAAGTAAAAAAATATATTTTCTTCCTTCTTTTTACGTGTAACTCAGATATCTGGATTCCCAGGGACTTTTATTAGATATTATATGTTTAATTAAATCACATATAACATGAAATTACAAATGCAATAAAATTTACAATAATTTCCGGACACCACACTTTCAGCTTACTCCCTCTTCACATGGGACAGATTCTGTCCATTTTTATTTGGCCACCTGTTTCTGATGATCCACACCAGAAGCCAATGCTCTGCACTTCCACATTAACACCAGTGAATGTTTGGGAGGTGCATGGTGAATGCTGTTGGGATGAAGAAGTGCTGGGTATTGAGGGACACTTGGTACAGCGTCTTCCTTGTCAAGCTTGATTCCATTTGCCTAACTACACAATTATAGCACTGCTAGATGACAGAAAAGCTGTGTGCTTTTAGAAGACTCCTGTACCACCATGTTTCTCAAACTGTATACCTGTATCTTTAAGGGAACACACAGGAAAGAACAGCTAACAAATCAAGCACTTATCATATGCCAGGTTCTGCTCAATACACTACAACATGTATTAACTCACATGTCCTCATGTGAGGAGGTGGATCCTGTTATTACCTCTTTGTACACTCAAGGGGAAAGACCACTGTCTATCTGCCTCTGGTTTCAAGTGATGCTGGGCTCTCCCTTCTGCATTTCTACATAGCAAAGGGAGCTCTTGGTTTTGACACACTGCCTAGTCTGGCTGTATTACTAGGACTCAGGATAAGAGCTATTTGTAGTGGCACTCTAAAACCTTGACCTTCAATGTCCCGCAGTAAATTCCTGATTAAGTTTCAAGCAAAGAGTTTGGTTTAAAAAAATCATTCAAAGAATTTATGCTGTGCATTAGCTTAGTTCAGCTTGGACGGTACATTAATTTTGCCCTTATCACATTTCCCCTCTCCTGTCACAAACTTTGCTGATTGTTCACCTTCTACTCTTGGTTCCTGTACGAACTCCATGAGCCTTGGCACCTCCATGTATCTCAAGTTTCCTCACCTGTAAAATGAGAAAACCTTTGCTCCTCTGTGAGTCAGCTAACACTTCACTGGGATGCAGTCATTTCTTTAAAATGCTGAGAGAGATTAATGTGCCCAGTGAGTGTTAAATGGCAAGTCACTCTGAGCTTGTTGCAATGCGGCACTTCTAACTCTCTGTTAGTGCCCTGGTCCCCTCATGAGAGCCAAAACTCTTGACATTCTTATACGGCCTTCAGCAACTGACCCCTGCTCTTCTCCATGGCCTCATTTTTGGCTCCATCCTCTGAAACAGCATTTGGGCTTTTACAACAGGACCACCATGCCTCCAGGTGTTTCCTATGCAAGCCTGGGTAGTCGGAATGCCCTCTGCTCCGTCCAACTTTGCCTGACCACCTCCTGCTCTGCTCACTCAGGTTCAGCTTTGACATCACCTCCTGGGATACTGATATGGTTTGGCTGTGTCCCCACCCAAATCTCATCTTGAATTCCCATGTGTTGAGGGAGGGACCTAGTGGGAGGTAATTGAATCATGAGGGCAAGTCTTTCCCCTGCTGTTCTCATGAGAGTAAATAAGTCTCATGAGATCCGATGGTTTTAAAAAGAGGAGTTCCCCTGCACACGCTCTCTCTCTCTGCCTGCTGCCATCCATGTAAGGCGTGACTTGCTCCTCCTTGCCTTCCACCACGATTGTGAGGCTTCCCTAGCCACGTGGAACTGTTAAGTCCAATTAAACCACTTTCTTTTGTAAATTGCCCTGTCTCTGGTATGTCTTTATCAGCAGCATGAAAACAGACTAATACGGATACCTTCTTTACACCCCAAGTCAGGAACCAGAGCCCCCTGCTGTGTCCTCCCTTTATCACTGCACATCACAGACAGTATCATCATAACCTCTTTGCTTACCTCTATCCCTTCACTTCACTATGTTCCAATGTTTTTATTATGGAATCTACTGTGCCTAGTACAGTGCTTGACACATAGCTAGTGCTCAATAAAAAAAAATAATAAATGAGTGAATGGAAGTTTGGGAAAGGGTAGATTCTTGCTGGTTCTTCCAAGACAGAAAAAGGCAAGAGCTCCACAAATGTCCATTTTTGTGAACCTGGATAATTATTTGGAAGGGAAAGAGGAGGATCAGGCCTGGAGCCAAGAGAACCTGAATCATAACCTTGATGGGATTTAAACCTGAGAATCATGTGGATTTTTTTCTGAGTGACAAGGGAGAGTGAGTGGAGATCCATTGTCTAGGTGTTGCTGTGGGTGGCAAATTATTAGTTAGAAAATCCATGCAGTCACGTATGTGAATGTGAAAAATTGTGAGCCTTGCTGCCACCTAAGAATAAGACCATCCCATCATTAATCATGTGCTTTCATTTGCACTGGATCCCATCACAAAGGAATTAATGTCTGTGGCAGTCAGGTGGCTCTTAACTCCTTACGAAGAGTAATAAGGCTTTACTTTTTCATAAACATGGATGTGACACAGAAACTAATACCATCCAGTAAAGTCCAAACCAACTGCTTCCCACTAGAGAAGCTTCTCCTCTCCAGGAAAGCTTTACCCGGCCAGACCAGACTCTTTCTCCCTGGACCCATGGCAAATACAGACTGTTCATTTAGTGAATCACTCTCCCTCTTCTGTTCTCTTCTTGAAATATTTTTTCAACCTTCACGCTTTAATTTCTAACATGTTTATGTTCTGTCTAGCTCCTAGGTGGTAAGAGAGTGGATTTAAAATTGTAATCCCCCCAGGAGAGCAAACATTGCCCAGTCTTTTGCTTCTTGACCAAGGGAGGTGCTTGATAAAATATTTATTGATCTCACCATTGATTCCTCTCTCAGTCTCAGCACACATGGGTCACAATGGACAGTCATTTTTCATCTCACATTTGGCTTTCTAATAGTCCTTTCTTAAAGTGATTCCATTTGCTCATGTGAAGTGCAGAGACCTGGTCAGGCATGAAGAATACAGCTTTTCCTACTGCCTTTCCAGGCTCTGGCCATGGGCCCTGCCTGAGTGGCCCTCTGTCATCATGCTCTGCCAGCTCACTTCAAAGCAGTCTGGCCTTTTAAACAAAAGGCACAATAGGGCTAACAGAACAACCCTGCAATGTAGTTGAACATAAATGCATACGAAAATGAGACACAGCTTCTCTCACTCACCATGGCATAGTGCTTTGGGGCCTCTGGTGAACTTGAAGAAAACCCCAAGCCCCTTTCTTAGAGCTTTGATGTGCCACTGTAACAAATGCACAGCAGGACATTGCACCCTAGTTCGCATTTAAGCCTTCCTGTTTAATTTGAGCAAAACTCTCCTTACAGGAGAATTAAACAATAACCACATCACAGGGAGATCTTAAAGTATTAGCAAACATCTGCTGCAAGCGTCGTGACAAGCACATGGCCCTAATGGCCCGCAGCCCCCCTGAAGAAGAGCAGATGTCTGTATAAAGGATGAATTTTGTTTATAAGGTGTTTTTGGTATGAACTTTTTCTTTGGCTCTTGTTAAATGGAGAACTTAGCAACCTATTGAAAAGGCATTTTGTCTCCACCCTGTAGAGCCAAATTGCTTCCTTGCTCTTCTGACTTCCTGACTGCTGAAGGAAGTCTTGGTCTATCTCAGGCAGTTAGTAAAGCATTGTCAGAATGGCCAATGGTGCATTAACCAGACCTGTTATTCCTAGTGGTCAGTGCAGTCTTTAAACACAAAGCTGGGTGTTCAGAGACCTGAACGCTAGTCCTCCATTGCCATGGTTAGCTGTGTGGTCCCAGGTAAGTCACTACCCTGACTGCATGGGATTTTGCATCTGTAGAATCAGCAGTGGTCTCTTCCAGATGTATCATCTGGCACTTCTCTCTCATGCATTTCTCTGGGCTAGTAAATTCTTAGCAAATTTCAACCTCGCTGACACCCCAGTGAGATGGCCTCTATTCATTGGGTGGTAATGGAGGGCTCTAAGAATTATCTGGGGAATACTGTCAATGCATTATAAATCACCAGAGAGGCTGCATCAGGCTCGAAAGTGGATCTCTGCTAGCTCTGAAAAGTCCATTTTTATTTTCTGGCTTAGAGACATTCACAAGATATTTTTCAAATATACATTTCCCTTGAGCGGTGTGGTCTCTGGGATGTTCAGGTACAACAGAATCAGATGTCACAGAAATGTTAGGTCATTCCAATTCGCTGCAGTTCATCTTTGCAATTGTTAGAGGGCATGGCCCAGAAATACAGAAATGAATGAAGCGAAGAATTTTCAGTCTCATCCTGTCTATCTTTGCTCATGCAGACGCAGTCAGGCGGATGACTCTGTGACCTCTCACCCTGGATACTCTTGATATCCACATCAGTGGGGTAAAGGCATCTTCAAATTCTATTGTCTTGAACCAAGGATGAAAATGTTTCAAATCTTCACCCCTTCCTGATTCCCGAGGGGTCTTTTAATGGCCTAAGCAATGCCGTTAAACAAATAGTCCCCATCAACACGGAAGATGGTGATTTGTGGTCATTTTTCAGTTCGTTACAACAAATGCCAAGGCCCACTCCTTGCATTGACAGACACCCAGGAAGAGTCTTCAGGGCCTATAGATGAGATCAAGGTGAAAATTACTTTGAGATCAAAGTCTTCTCTGCTGCAGTGCACTGGAGGGCTTCTGAGTCCAGCCAGGCAGTGAAGGAAGACTTCCCCACCCAGCACCTGGCTCCTCCTGCCTTTCTGAACAGGGTTTTGATTTGTTGAACAGCTTAGGAAGTAAGTGTGGCTTTGCTTAAGACCGCCAGCTTCCATAGACTGAAACGGTAGATGTAACTTACCCCAAAAGACAAAGAAAAAGAAAGCAAGATAGCACACCCTTGGGTTGGTTTCTGGCAAGCTCTAACCACATCAATGCATAAAACTGTATCTGTGCCTGACTGAGCAAAGTGACAACAGTGTCACAGAATCTGATCTTGAGATTAGCAGCTGCCCCTCTTTTGGAAGAGCTGTCCTTCACCTTTACTGCAAGTTCATGATAAAGTGCCATCTTCCCTCCCTTTACAGCCACAGCAGGGATGTGAGCTACCAACTCAGCTGCACCTAGTATCCCTTGGATTGAGAGGAGCGCTGACATGTCCTTACTCACCCTTGCTCCAGGCCCACAGCCCACTTTCAGAGGATGATTAAAGCAGAGTGAGAATGAGTCAGGTTCTCTCCAGAAACCAAGGGTCTGAAGTAGCAATTGACTGAATGGGACCGGAAGAGTGATCTGGAAGAGTTAATGAGTATTCAACATTGCTGGGCTCTACTTCCTGGTTCAGCCTTCCAGGAGGGGAGAATGAATCTGACCCAAGATTTGTCGAGTTCTTAAACATGGCATTATTCGAAATAAAATTTCCCCCTTCATCCTCTTATTGCCAAGGAAGACACTGATTTTTCAAGAAAGAAAAGCTAATATGCTTGCATAGAGTGCAAATAGAATGTGTGACCAATCATTGGACTGACAGAATTTGCCATCATTGTGACAAAAGATTAATTCATTTGGTCAATTAGGCCTGTAACAAATCAAGACAAGAAATTTTTGAAAATCAAACTTTTCACTTTACTGAGTGATATGGTTTGGCTGTGTCCCAACCCAAATCTCAACTGGAATTGTATCTCCCAGAATTCCCATGTGTTGTGAAGGGGGACCCGGGGGAGATAATTGAATCTTGGGGGCCAGTCTTTCCCATGCTATTCTCATGATAGTGAATAAGTTTCACAAGATCTGATGGGTTTATTAGGGCTTTCTGCTTTTGCTTCTTCCTCATTTTCTCTTGCCACCACTATGTAAGAAGTGCCTTTCACCTCCCACCATGATTCTGAGGCCTCCCCAACCATGTGGAACTATAAGTCCAATTAAACTTCCTTTTCTTCCCAGTCTTGGTATGTCTTTATCAGCAGCATGAAAATTGACTAATACACTGTCATCAGGCACATTTATTCAAAATAATCAAATTACTATTCCTGAATAGACACATATAAGATTCCTTTGAGAATTAGCAAACTCATACCTCAATATTGCCAGTAAAATTCTAAATTCGTGAAGTAAAGGTCCATATTTTTTGCTGCATTTTTAACCGTCACATACCACAGTGTGAGAAGATGTGTGGTACATTATCTTAAAATGCTTCTTACTTCCTGAAAAATTAAGTCAGTAATCTAAAGATTTTACCACAATATTTTACACACAGAAAGAAACCCTAAAACTGTGTCTGGATTTTATTGCAAGAAAAGTAGGCCAGATGTGGTAGCTCATGCCTGTAATTGCAGCACTTTGGGAGGCTGACTAAGCCAGGAGGATTGCTTGCGACCAGAAGTTTGTGACTAGCTTAGGCAGCATAATGAGACCCTGTCTCGACAAAAATTTCTTTTGAAAAATTAACAAGCCATGGTAGTGCACACATAGGTACTCCCAGCTACTCAGGGGGCTGAAGCAGGAGGTTGAGGCTCCAGTGAAATATGTTGGTGCCACTGCACTCTAGCCTGTGTGACAGAGCAAGACCCTGTCTCTATAAAAAGAGAGAGAGGTAAGTGGCAAATAATTTTCGATTTTTACCACACCACCCCTCTTTTCCTTCAACTCTGTGAATACATAATGATTCTCCCTTGCTAGTTTCTTATGCCTTTGAAAAACAGTATTATTTTATAACGTAATCGAAACTGCCATGGACTGAATTTTATCCCCCCAAAATATTGAAACCTTCACCCTAATGTGACTGTAGTTTGAGATAGGGCCTTTAGGAGGTAATTAAAGTTAAATGAGGTCATAAGGGTAGGTCCCTAATCACACAAGGTTGGTGGCCTTATAAGAGGAAGAGAAAGAGCTCTCTCTCCAAGTACACTCAAAGAAAAGACCGTCTAAGGACACCATGAGAAGGTGGCAATCTAGAAGCCAGGAAGAGAGCCCTCACCAGAAACCAAACAGTGCTGGATTTTGATCATAGATTTTCAGCCCGCAGAACTATGCAAAATAAATGTCTGTTGTTTAAGCCACTCAATCTATGACATTTTATTATGGAAGTTCACATAGATTAATACAGGCAACTTTACTGGAAACATTATAAATCTTTTTTCCCTCAAAAGATAAATAGTTTCAATCATGGAATAGAAACCTTGTGACAAAAAACACACCTCCTCTCCCCTTTCTCATGTTAGGCAGCCCATTAGGGAATGCCAACATAAGTCATCAAATTGAGTTTGGTAATGAGTATTTTCTCCTTTCTTTTTCTCTTCCCAGTGAAACAACATTTCTTGTGGTCTCAACCATTCACAAAAAAATAAAAAGGAGGCCAACTACAAACACAAATCATACAAGCAACTGTAGTCAACAACATCAATCTTTCATTTAAATGTATGCCAACATAATGTTGGAGCAATACATATGGCGATGACCCATCGCTAAGGATACTATTTATAGGAAGTTTCAACACTTTGAGCCTCAAACACTAAGCCATGGCCAAAGCAGCAGCTTTCAAAATCAAGCTCACTGAGTTTTTCTTAAAATAACAGAAAGAAATCCCAAGATAGCAAAAACAGGCACATCTGTCAGTGCAGCAATTCCTTAAAATAAATCTCTCTCTCTCTCTGTCTCTCTTTCTGGATATATATACAAGATACACACACATACACACGCGCGCGCACACACACACACACACACACACATATATATGAAATGTTGTTTCATTGGAACTCTGGAGAACTTATACATACATCATGCCCATGACTATCTATGCTATCCATGAGTAAGGCTGGACCTATCATTGATTACTGTCATCATTAGCTCTATTTGGTAAGACTAATTCTGCGCAATTATTCTGTCAATAATTTTGAATACCTACTATGTGCTGGGAAAACTGCTAGAGGCTGCAAGGCTTTTGCACAAACAAAAACAGCTACCCATCTTTTGGAGCCTCAATCTTAATCTATTAGTGAAAAGGACATCTTAGTTCATAGGGCTTTAATGATTCTTTTTAAAGATGAGCTATGAAATTTATTCATATCCTCTACTAAAAAAAGTTTTATATACTCATTAAGGCAGAGATGACAAGGAGATTTCAACTCAAACCAACTCTCTGATGAAATGATTGTGGCTGCTTTGACCACTCCCATGAGGTGCAGAGAGAAAGAGACCCATTTGTGGCAGCTGCCTTGGGAATGGAGGAGGCTGGAAGTCCAAGATCAATGTGTTGGCAGGATTGAGTCCTTCTGAGGGCTGTGGGGAAGAATTTGTTCCATGTTTCTCTCCTGGCTTCTGCTGGTTTTCTGGCAATTTTTGTCATCTTTTGGCTTGTAGATGCATCACTCTGATCTCTGTCTTCATCTTCACATGGTCCTCTGTTTGCACACGTGTGTGTCTCTGTGTCCAAATTTCCCCCTTTTTATAAGGACACCAGTTATATTGGATTAGGGCCCACCCTAATGACCTCCTCTGAACTAATGATGTCTACAACAATCCTATTTTCAGATAAGCTCACATTTTAAGGCACTGAGGGTTAGGACTCCAACATATAAATTTTAAAGGGAGACACAATTCAGTCCGCAACAATTGTGTTGTACCATTGTCCCTAAGGTACATTCAGTAAGTAAGGAAATGGAGCAAGGAAAGGAGTTAAAGCTCCACACATGGTCCAGCTGGGGCAAAGGGGAGTTCTCTATTCTCTCTTTAGATTCTTTGTTGGAATTAATTTCCTCATGGTCTTGAGTTTCCAAAGGTAAGTGCTATCTGAAAACTCAAACCTTTCCCTAGATCTTTTCTTTAGAGATATTATCCACAGAAAGCCTGAACTGTGTAGGTTAGGCCAGCTCTGCTCTCAGCCTTAGAAAGAAACCCTTTCCCACTCCTTTCCTGGGAATGCTCTTCCTAATGTTTGCCTTTAGTTGATCGACAGGACTGTGATGGGGTGGAAAAAGGTGCCAGCAGGGCACTGGATGTCCTAGGCAGTGCAAAAGAATAAGGATAAAGTAAATAAAGGTTTAGAGATTGGGAGGAAACAAATATGTCATTACTCACAAGAGACATGATCATACATGTAGGAAATCCAAAGATAATTTTCACTAAAATATTAGAATTGAAAGAGAATTTAGCAAGGCCACTGGATATAAAATCAATTGTACATACCCAGAGTAATGGAGATGCACCTGAAAGACCTTAAATAACTTTAATAGAAAACAACACACACACACACAAAAATCAATTTTAGTTCTATATAACTGAAGTAAACAATTAAACTGAAAAAAAACCTTAAAAAGATATCATTTACAACAGTATCAAAGCATCACATACAAAGGAATAAATTTAATGATAGATTTACATAACTTTTATCAAGGAAAAAACATATTGTCTTAGTTCATTTGTGTTGCTACAAAGGAATACTTGAGACTGAGTAATTTACAAATAAAAGAGGTTTATTTGGCTCACCGTTCTGCAGTCTGTACAAGAAGCACGATGTCAGCATCTGCCTCTAATGAGGGCCTCAGGGAGCTGCTTCTCATAGAGCAACGTGAAGGGGAGCCACCCATTACATGGAGAGACAGGGAAGAAGAGAGGGAGAAAAGAGGTGCCAGGTTCTTTTTAACAATAGTTGTCACAGCAACTGAGTGAGAACTCACTCACTCCTGCTATAGTGGCACCAAGTCATTCACGAAGGATCCCACCCCAATGACCCAAACACCTGTCACCAAGGCCCCACCTCCAACACTGGGGATCAAATTTCAACATGAGACTTTGTGAGGCCAGACAAACTATATTCAAATCATAGCACACATCATTAAGAGAAGTTAATGATAATATAAATAAATGCAGAAATAAACCAAGTTCAAGAAGTAGAAGACCAAGTTTTGTAAATATGTGAACTTTGTTTTCAAACTAATCTCTAGATTCAATGCAATTCTGGTCAACATTCCAGTAGAATTTTGTGAAGTTTTGCAAGGTGATTGTAAAATTTGTATGAAAATGCAAACGACAAATAATAGTCAAGGAAATCTTAGAGAAGAACAAAGTGGGATGATTTTCACTGCTGGTTATCATAAATTATTATAGACTACAGTAAGTTAAAAGAGAGTGGTACCATGTGTGTATACACACACACAAACACACATACAGTTGACCCTTGAACAACATGGGTTTGAACTGCACAAGCCTATTTAAATGTGAATTTTTTGTTTTGAGGAGTCTTGCTCTGTTGCCAGGCTGGAGTGCAGTGGTGCGGTCTTGGCTCACCGCAACCTCCGCCTCCTGGGTTCAAGCGATTCTTCTGCCTCAGCCTCCCAAGTAGCTGGGATTACAGGCATGCACCACCATGCCCAGCTGATTTTTGTATTTTTAGTAGAGATGGGGTTTCACCATGTTGGCCAGGCTGGGCTTGAACTCCTGAGCTCGTGATCCGCCCGCCTCGGCCTCCCAAAGTGCTGGGATTACAGGCGTGAGCCACTGCGCCCGGCCCTTAAATGTGGATTTTTAAAAATAAAAGTTACAAGTATGCCTGCCTCTCCTGCCTCCCCTTCCACCTGCTTCACCTCTTCCTCCTCTGCCACTCCTAAGACAGCAAGACCAACTCTTTATCTTCTTCCTCCTCCTCAGCCTATTCAATGCGAAGACAACGAGGGTGAAGAACTTGTAATGATCCATTTCCACTTAATCAATAGTAAATATATCTTCTCTTCCTTGTGATTTTCTTAATAACACTTTCTGGCTTGCTTCATTATAAGAACACGGTATGTAATACATATACAAAATATATGTCAATGCTCCTAAGAATGAAGTTGCCTCCAAGTAGGAAAACTGAATATTGTTTTGTCTCAAAAGATTACACATCCAGTGCTTGAGAAATCAGGCAGGTGAGCAGCAGGACTAATAGAGTGGATTTGGGGGACTGTCTGCTACTCCCAATCAGTAGGCCTTGGTCCAGGAAGTCTTTTTTTATTAGGGGAGGGGTGCTATTTACAGCCCATCCTGCATATCTTCCCTTCAGCAGCTCTCAGGACTGTTCGTTTTTCTTGAACTCTTCATGGTGATGGGCATCGGTGGCCTTCTCTTTAGCAGGACACTGGTGATTTGGAAGGGACTGCTTAGGCTTCTTGGTGTCATCCACTCTAGGGCCAGGCCTTGGACTCTTCTTTGTTTCTCTCTGTGAGGGCATTGAGCCGTTGGGATCAAATGGGTGGTACCACACATAATCACACATGTTGGTGCACACAAGATGTCTCAATGTCTTTCTTCTTATTCTGATCCTCTGCTAGCAGCCAGGCTTTAGCTTCCTTGGTGGCAATGCATTCTATTTCAGCATCAGTGCAGACATCCACCTTGGGATGCACCCAGCATTGGGTGGGAAGCATCTCCTTGGCCTTCTTTGAGGAGCAAACATGTGTTTTCTGAAAGTTCATAGAGACAGTCCTCTGCACTCTTCAGTTTGATTTTCTGTTCCTGTGGTCCAGGAGCCCTTTCCTTTGCTTTGTCTTTGTCTCCATGTACTTCATCACGCTCATGCCTTCCTACCCTGGGTTGGTTTCTTCAGAAAATGACATCCTTGGCTGGAGGTCTTCCTCTTTACTGATCCCATCCATGCCCTTCTCCTCCTGCCCCATATACATACTACCTGTCTTAATCTGAAGGAAATCACCCACTAGAATGGCCTCCACTTGTACCCCCTCTCCCATCTGCAGGGCCACAGCTCTCACATGTCTAGTTTCTTCCTCAAGTCCTGCACCTCCCCGGTCTCTTTCAGCTTGAATCAAATCTCCTCTCAGTCTTGCTCATCTTCCTGCTGGCCCAGGGCGGGCTTGATGGAACTGGCCTCATGGTCTGGCCTCTGCAGTAAAGACATTTTTAGGTATGCATGATACTGAAAAACAAAAAGAAAAACTCTCCCACACATGCTTTCTCAAGAAGCTCGTGTTTGTACTCTTTGAAAACATAGGAGTAAATCTAGAAAGGCATTAACTTATATACCGGGTGCTTCAACAAGAGAGAGTGAAGCCATCTCCAGGATGATGTGAGAGAGCTCAGAAGATGGTGTTTGTACAACAGGCCCAGAGGGCAACCTCTCCATACAGGGCAAGGTGGCAGAAGGGTGCAAGATGGAGGTCTCCATGGATAAGAAAGAAGCTGGTAGGTTTTCTCTGCTAAAGTATTGAGAGAGAGGTATGCCTCCAGCAGAGACACATAGTACATCCAGAAAAATGCAATTTGTCCAAGAAAGAAAATATAATCAGGGTTCAATAAATAGCTCAGCCATAAATATTTATAGGGTCATAATATAAACATTAAATGTAAAGATTACTGTGCAACCTAATTGGGTAGAAAGGAATATGAGTGTGGAAAGAAAAACATGTTGAGAGATATGGGAAGTAAGAGCGTGAAACCATTTTTAAAATAGTAAATGGCAAGGATTTCCAAACTATTAAAACTATCAAGAAACAGCAGTGTAAGGAACGGCTAAAGTTAAAAATGTTGCCAGTCAGAAGTGAGAATTGGGAGGGGAGGAGCATGGCAGGAGACTGCTATTTTTCTTTCTAGAATGATTTGATATTTTAACCTAGGAGCAGTTATAACTTTGAAAAATATAAATGCTAGGTACAAGCAGGTAGAAGCACTACTAGTATAATTATTTAAGGCATATAGGTACAAGCAGGTAGAAGCACTACTAGTATAATTATTTAAGGCATAAGCCTATGGAAGAGATACACAAAAGTGATCTTGGTTGTGCCAGATTGGAGAGATTACTGGGAAAGTTTACTTTGTTGTAGTCTTAGGCAGTAGCTATAGCAAGAAAGAGTGGCAAATGCAGGCAGAGATACAGCAAGTTGGGAGGAAGTCTGGAAGGGCTCTGTCCATTGATCAAGAAGCTTGAGCCCTTGATCACAAAAGTGATCCTTTCTATCAGAAGGAATCATTAGCATAGAAAGTGAACTTGAAGTAGCCTAAGACTCAGGTAGGAATCTACGTAAGAGAGCCTGCGTTAGGGTCTTTTCCTTAAGGGAGCCCTTTATTTTATTTGGCAAATGGCTCACTGGAGAACTCAGGCTACAGAATTCTTCCTGGGAAGGTGGCTATCTACTTACTAACTCACACCTGAACTAACTAGCAGAAAGCCATCATGCCCGTCCATCCAGGCAGCCATCCAGCCATGCAACATTTTTGAGCCCCAGCTATTGGGCAGACATCGTGCTGAGTTCTGTGCCCCTGCTAAATGAAACGTAAGGGCAGTCTTGAAACCCAGCTCTAAACTTCCCTCCCCTTCCCACCCTGCCAGTGTCATCTTCTTACAGGATGTAAGGCTATGAGCTATGAGATGGTGAGAATTCATATTTCCCTTTCCCTTCACCTTCCTAAATATTTACTTTTCCTTTACCTGCCTGAGCAGTATGCTCAATATCAACACATGTTTTTAGTTCAATATGATTTTATTTAAAATGTGTACAGCTGAAGAAGGGATCTAATCTTTTGTTAAAAGAAACCAATTTTCACAGTATATATTTGGCCATTTTAGCTTTGTAGTGAATAATAACATAAAAGGAAGTTTCTGTTCAAGATCATCACTCCAGCACACTCAGCCAGGTGCTTGGCAAGATGACACATTTCCTGGTCTGAAGCTCACAGCCAATCCTCTCACCCAAGTGGGACACCAATACTCCTCCAGGCACACACACACACATGTGCGTGCGTGCACACTCTGTCTCACACACACACACACACACACGAGGTCTTATTTTCACTGCTCTACACGGAGCCCTGAGAATCCTTAATTTTAAAGTTGGGAAAAATGTGAAAGGATTCCTTAACTCACTGTCTGCGACAAGTCCATCTACCTTTTAACTCTTAACAACTGCAAGTATAAAATAGTTGAAATGTATGAGATACTCCATTTAATGGAACAACTCAAAAGTTAAAAAATTAGGTCAAGCAACATGCTTTAATATTTTTAAATGTTGCTTAAAACTTACTGAGACAAGAGATGCAGCACATTCTGGGTATTATAAACTCTCACTGACAACTGTGACATGACGGTCAAAAATATTTTAAAAAGAGAAGAAACCATACATATTGGTATACAACAATGTCTGCAAGGGAATGTCATGTTTTAAATTTTGTTAACTGAAATTAAACCTGAAAAAAAAACCCCAAAGGTCTACAAAACTGATACCCATGTCATTTTAAATGATGAGGTGGATTGTTTCCTATGCAGTAAAGTGAAGGTAACAAAAAATCCATACAACTTTCACATCCTCTTAAAAAAAAAAGTTCAGGTTATAGTCACTTTCACAGACAAGACATTTATAAACTATCTATATTATAACTATATAATATATAATATATAACTGTAAAAAAGTAAAGTAGATGTTCCTCTTCAAAGACTTTCCTCCCCATCTAATTAGGAATAAACAGCAACTTCTCTTAAAAGCAAAATTTATTCAAAGACCTGTGCTAACATTCTTAAATATCTGCTAGCCGTGATAAAGAAATCCATGTACTTTATGTTCTCACCTCCCACAATTTAGCCTAAATATTTGCCCTGGCATGCTTATACTGGTCCACTCAAGCATTAGGTCATAGCCTGCTCCTCTTCCTAATTTGAAGGTGTTTTTACCTTTCTCAGCATTCCACAAGTTACTTCCTCCTTCCTTTGTCCTCCTCTACCTTTGCTTCCTTTAAAAAGTTCTAAGTTGCTAGCCAATCAGGACAAATACAGAATGTGAGGTCCCGTTCCAGCCAATGGAAACCAGACACAGCAGTAAGGTGAACGCGTCAAGTTATAAATGACCCCGTGTCCTTTGTTCGGTGTCCTCTCAAACAAAGTGGCAAAACTGCTGGCGAGTGTACTTTCTGCAGAAAGTAAAAATGGCCTTGCTGAAGAAATTAAATTTATGTTCAACTGCTATTTCTTTACGGCACCGAGGAACAAGCATTTCTAATATAACTATATAATATATAACTATTGATATCAATTTATAAATATCAACACCTTTTAATCAAGTTCTTTTCTAGATAAATGTGGATACATCAACAGGGCCTCCCTTGGGTATTCTGTGCTCATCCCTTGAGAGATTCGTTTTAATGAGAGATTCCCAAGCTGTTTGACAAAACAAGGGTAATTAACAGGGCAGCTGTTCTTCTGACACCCAATAACATTGATAACAAGAGAAGGAGCCTTATTTGGTCAAAAGAGTCTACAGGTGTGACTGGGGCCTGAGTTCTGGTCTTGTCTTCATGAACATAGTTGTTTATTGTTCTCTGATTCAGTTTCCCATTCATTTTCCCTCATACAATCTATAAGAAACTTCCTTAAGGGAATAAACATTATTTTATTGATCTTTATTTTTTTCTTTGATAGCTACCAAATTGCCTATACCATTGCAAGTGTGTGTTCAGAAACATTTCTATTTGAATTAATGAACTGAGTAAAGTCAATCTCCCTGGCAATTACATGAATATAAAAATCCACTCCCACCTAGGTTCTGTTGGAGGACATTTGGGAGTTCCATTGTCTTTTACTAATTAAGTTCTCTGTTGATTTCTACCCTTCCTGATTCCATGTCACACTCCTTCTCTGTTGATTTATTTTTTTCCCCCTCCTGGCTCTGCATCCTTTCTTTCTTTTGAATATTGCCTTAAAGCTATGACTCTCAGCACCCAGTAATAGCTCACATTATGTAAGAGGATATTGTAAAAGTCTCTAAAAATTTCCAGAACAATAACAATTTAAATTCCCATCCATTAAAAACTAAATAAATAAACCATATTTAATTTGGGTGGAGGGAATTGGAGAGGAAGTTAGGGAATCAAATAAACAACAGGATGTTGTAATTTCCAGAAAGCTGGGAAATGTCTGCCACAGAGGCTCAGAAAAAGCCCATGTACTTGTATTAGTCCTGGGCACAATCATCTGTAGCAGCCCCTGATAGGAATAAATCTTGTTAAAACAATACTTTGCAAGGGGTGCTGCTTACCTGGTTTTGTCCATTCTGGGTACTGGAATCACGACAGTCAGAGTCCCAAAGTGGCCTCATGGGTCAGGCGGTCATTTAACAATACTCGGAAAGGTTCCTAAATTTGGTAATTCTGAAGTCAACAAAAGGTTCCTGAGAAACAACTGAACATTTTTATGCCTAGAAATTTAGAAACTATTCATTCTACTCTTATTCTACTAGTGGTGACACTTAAGAAGTATATTAGAAACTCAGAAACTAGCTTTTTCCTCTTTTCAACATCTGCAATAAAACATTTTCTATCTCCTCTGCAGGTTGTTTGTTTGTTTGTTTATTTGTTTGTTTTGAGATGGAGTCTTGCTCTGTCGCCCAGGCTGGAGTGCAGTGGTGCAATCTCGGCTCATGCAGTTGTTATTTTTTGAGGTGTCTCTCTTCCCTAAACTGGTAACTACTGTCCTCCCACCCCTGTTACCATGCACTCAGGAATGGGGCCACTGCAGCCGTTTACATGACCTTGCTATCTGGCCGGAGCTACTTAGACGTGGATAGTCCTTTTCCGGGTTTAGCCGCATTCCCTGCCCTGTATTTCACTCTATTTATCTGAATTTAATCTGAGGAATATAATACAATCAATCAAAATTATATAAAATTTTAGGCTGCTCTGCAACATCTCTTTCAATGATTATTTGATGTTTGCATCAATCATAACACAATAAAAGGAATTGGTTGGGCTTAATAATTCACTTTCAGTAGCACAGGTTGAATCTGCTTAATCCGAAACTCCGAAATCCAAAATGCTCCCAAATCTGAAACTTTTTGAGTACCAACATGATGCCCGAAGGAAATGCTATTGCAGCATTTCAGATTTCAGATTAAAGATGCTCAACCAGTAAGTATAATGCAAATATTCCAAAATCTGGAAAAAAAAAATCCAAAGTTCGAAAGACTTCTGGTCCCAAGCATCTAGGATAAGGGATGTCAAACCTATATTATGTTTAACATAGTTCTCTCTCTCTTTTTTAGGTCATTTAAATTTACTCATCAATTGGCCAATGTATAGAAAGAGATGACTGTTTTAAGGAGAGCTTGAAGGTGGTGTACTTTCTGGGTCCTTGCATAGTTTGAGAATGTCTTTCAGTTAACATCACACATAAGTGACACTTTGGCTGGATACGGTATTCCATTGCCTGTTCACTGTTTTGGAACAGGGTGCTGAAGAGAAGTCTGTTCATTCTTTGGTAGGTAGCTTTTTATTCTCTATATTTCTGTAGGCATCCCTGTCTGAAAATCTACATAATTTTGAGTTTATTCTCGAAATTCAAATTCTTCTCCCAGCTACGATTAAATATTGATCTCTTTAAAACATTTTTCCCTGGTGCTCTAACTGACACTACTGTCTAAACTTTCTTCCAATTATTATTTCTTACATCTACTCTCTTATCTTCCAGGATTCTCTATATTGCTTATATTTTAGTATTCGGTTTTTAAATGTATTTTGTGCTATGTGTTTGCTTTAAAATGTAGTGTATTGAGAGAAAGTCTGAAGTATAGTAATGCCAACAGATTAGGGTAAGATTTTGCCATTGAAAAGACAGTTTGTTATTCACAGTTCCCAGGAGGAGGGACACACCACACACCATAGGGAAGCACCAAGGTGGATCAGGAGGGCCAGGGAGACCGGGGAACTGCAGGCCAGAGCTTTTATTATTATTTCTGCAGGAAGGAATGGGTGAGGCAGAACATGCAGGCTTAGGCTTTACTAGTTTGAAAAATTTCAGCAGGCTCTAGGGCATAGGAAATGTCCTCAGTGTCTGATGTCTTGCCCTGCGGTAATAGGGCAGGTGGGTGGATAGCGGCCCGAGTGTGGGCTTTGTATTGTGGTTTGCATATGAAGGGTGTGCTCACAGATGAGTTGTTTACCATCTTTAGGAATTAGTTAACCTGGAGGGACAGTCCCTCTAGAGCAGGGATGTCCAATCTTTTGGCTTCCCTGGGCCACACTGGAAGAAGTAGAATTGTCTTGGGCCACACATAAAACACACTAACACTAACGATAGCTGATGAGCTTAACAAAAAAAAATTGCAAAATCTCCTAATGGTTTAAGAAAGTTTACAAATTTGTGTTGGTAGATTTGTAGATGTAAAATTCCCCTCAATCATCTTGAGGACCTGAATTTGACAATTTCCAAATTGTTCTTGTGTTTTTTATAATAAGTAGTGTTTTAGGAGACCTTTGTTCTAACTGCTGGGAATGTGCTTCTTAGCATTAACCACATTATCATTTAGCAGATCTGGTGGTTTTCTGTTTGGTCTTCCTTCTGGAGGGAGGTCTGCATGTATGTTAGTCCCAGCCTGTATCTGGATGGCTCACGGTTCAAATCTTCAGGCTCACATAAAAGGAGAAAGGAGAGAACAGATACATTTTAGGTAACTTTCCTTTGCCAGGTCAGAGACTCACAAATGGGAGAGAAGGAAGGAACTAGAATTTGAGCTATTTGTTGCAGGAAATGTCACCATGGAAGTGGCTTTCCTTTTGGTCTAGCAGTCAGGAATTCGTGGGGACAGTGTTCCTTCCATTTCCCTGTGTCACCCTCATTAAATCCAGCCATAACTTACCCCAGCTCTCCAGCTAGCGTTGGCTGAGAACAAGAGCCACTCTCAGGAGTGGAGTGGGTAGGGACAAGGATGGACTCAGGGAGACTGGTTGAAAGTCCACTGCAGCAATGCAGGCCAGAGGGAGTGGGAGCGACTGGATTCTGGGTAGATCTTGAAGCAGAATGGAAAGGATTTGCTGATGGTTGGGATGTAGAATATGGACTCTAGAATTTTTCCTTTTTTACATGAGCAACTAGAAAGAATGAGGTTGATATGAGAACTGAGATGTGAAGGACTGTGCAAAGAACACGTCTGTGGTAAAAATGGAGAGTTCGGCTCTGGATATGCAAAATTTGAGAGCCTATAGAATGTCAGAGGAGATGTTAAGTGTGTGAGCATGCAATTTGGAAGGCAGGTCTAGATATTAGTATGAAAGTCTTCCTCCTGTAGATGTCTTTAAAGCTGTGGGATAGGGGGTGAACACGGAAAGATCAAAGACCTCCTAAGAAGCTAGTTTTTGGAAACTAGAAAGAGGAAGGAAACCCGCAAATGAGACTGAGGCTGAGAAGGAGTAGCCCATCAAGTATTATAGGAGACACCGAGTGTGAAAAAACACACTTGAAGTGTTTTGTCTATTCTCTTACTCAAAAATAATCAACACAGAAGACTTCTGTGACCCAATATGTGAGGATTTCTTCCTACCAGCAAGCATGCAATCAATTCTGCAGTAGTTATCAGCACGTTGTCCTCCAATCCAACTCCATTCTGATGATGAATACCTAGAGGTAGCATCAGATCCCTCAGGTTGAGGGCTGTGTCCACAAGCCTGCCCCCTGTTTCCAATGCCTATGGAAAGCCCAGGTTGGGGTGGGGCTGAATCACCCATCTAATCCTGCCGTGGTCTTTCAGGTGACCAGCACCCATCCTGAAGCTACCTAGGGGCCGCCAGCCATTAGTCAACTCATGAGCATACAAAAAGATATCACTTTGGAGACTCCAGGGATTTTAGGATTCATATACCAGGAAGTAGGCCAAAGACCAAATATACACTTCACAATGGCAGAGACCAAAAGAGCAGGTGTCCTAGAGGCCCAGAGAAGGAAGTCTTTTGAGGAGGCAGCAGTCATCAAGACTGGGACACTGACCCCTGGATTTAGCAATGCACAGATCCGGATAACTGGACAAGAGTACACTGAGAAGACCGGGAAGAATGAAGGCCTAGTCAGGGCAGGTTTATGGAACGATGGGAGGAGATGCAGTGGAATGGGCGGGCAGCTGTCAGTCACAACTACCACTTCGGAAATGTAGCTGAGGGAAGCAAAGAAAAGACACAGCAGTGGGAA
Source organism: Homo sapiens (assembly GCF_000001405.40). Lineage (NCBI taxonomy): Eukaryota > Metazoa > Chordata > Mammalia > Primates > Hominidae > Homo > Homo sapiens. Next base: position 232,909,138 of record NC_000001.11, on the reverse strand, counting down.
GAGGTGGCGGAATCTGGAGGGTTTTGCCGTTATCGTTGTACTGTCATTATAGCTGTTAGGAAGAGAGCTCTTGCTGCCCATTTATTCTCTAGGGAGGGAGAAGCCAATGACAGGAAAGATTGAAGGATGTTGTCTTGGAAACTGAGAGGCAGGCGAAGTGGGGGATTTCATAGTGGGATTTGCAGGACTTCTTCTGATGCTTCTTTTTTTCTCAGGGAAATACAGAATAAGGACAAGAGCTGAGATTGAGGAAGGGAAGGGTCTCTCTGTGTGTCCCATGAGGCCTACGCTACCTGCCAGCCCTGGGAAGCCTAACATTGCCACGGCCCCTCCTCCTTCAGGACTGTTTCTTTGCTTCTCCCTTTACTGAAAATCAAGTCTTTATGGGTTGAGTCTTTACCACTTGGTAATTTCCAGAAAGTTCCCTTCTTGCTAATGCCCTTTGCAAATTGCTGCTCTCTACTTTATGAATTAACAGGATTTATGCTTGATGTGGCAGATTTCTTTCTTTCTTTCTTTCTTTCTTTCTTTCTTTCTTTCTTTCTTTCTTTCTTTCTTTCTGTGCTGTCTTTCTTTCTGTGCTGTCTTTCTTTCTGTGCTGTCAAGGCGTGTCTTTAGAGGAAGACTTCATTCAACTTAATAACCCAAGTCAGCCAGTTTTCACGGAATGCCATGGGCCCCACACTTCTAGCCCAGAGTCTCAGCTAACAGCAGGTGCCCCCACCCAGCACCATCACGTTTTTTATGCAGCACAGGTAAATGCCCCCAGGAGCAGCAACTCTCACTGACATTCTCTCCTGCACTTTACCACTCAACCAGCGCATGCCCAGGTCACCTGGGTGTCAGGAACAGTCAAAGTAGCCCCCCATTGTGCTTGGAGGGCCATTGCCTTTGACACAAAAAAAAAAGGAGGAAAAGAAACATAAAGCTGGATGACTGCTCCCCATTTTGCCCCTGGTTGGTTATATTGCAGGGTAGAAGGCTTCACTTTATATTTTAAAGAAAAATAAAACTTTAACTGCTTCCTATATTAAAACCTCTATGACAAATTTAGTCAGAGACTTAAAAAGCACCATTTAAAAAAATAGACTATAGGGATGTGATCCATGTCGGAACCTACTTACCACTGCTGGCTACCATCCAGAAAACATGAAACAGTGTCCAAATTACATTTTTAGAAAAGGCTATCCTTGATAATATATAATATATCCTTTTATTCATTATTGAGACCCAAAGTTTAAGGCATTTGAGAATGTTTCTTTTAAGTAACAGAGCAAGGGGGATGGAGAGAAAGAAAGAGAGAGGAGAAAATGTAAGTTAATCTGTTTGGGGCAAAAGCTTTTTAGAAGCTCTGCAAAGAAAAAATACGAAGATAATAAAATAGCTGTTGGAAAAGAAATTCATTTTGATTGATTATAAATTACTCATTTGCTAATAAAATAGCTACACTGTAGCTGCCATTATGATTGCTACTATTAAAAGGAAATACTTAACTTGTAGGCACTATTATTACCAGTTAAAGGTTTCTGCTTTTTTTCTTAAGTCAAATAACAAAAGCATGGAAGGAGCAAATTAAAGTACCAGAAAAAGGAAAATCCAATTTGTAACTAAATTTTCCACAGGATGATTCTTTTCCCAGCCCCTTACTTCTTCTTCTTCTTCTTCTTCTTTTTTTTTTTTTTTTTTTTTTAGTATGTTTCTTCCACCCAGGTTTGTTCCAAATTAAATTCTGGTTTTTATCCATTTAAATGCAGATTCCTGAAAAGCAAATAATATGACATTAACAAAGAAGAAGAAACCCTGGCCCCGAAATTACCTAGTGAAATTGTCTTTGCTCAGGTGTGCGGGGTATTGGAGGTGTAATAACACTGAATAGAACAACTCCATCATACCTCTCCACGGCTGCTTTAGTGAGAATTGGTTGGATGTTAACTTGGGACTTTACCACGGCAAAGCAAAACCCTGTCAACAAGCACAGGCAGTGTGCAGTTCCCTCACACACACCTTGTGCCATTCAGCGCTGGGTTTTCACTGCCTCTGCAAGAATCTGCCATGCCTGGGGTAGATGTTGGGTGGAGACGTGGAGGTGATTGACAAGTCCCTAATTCCCAGAATTTCACAGTGAAGAAGGGAAGATCGATGTGTGTGCGAATGACCATAAATAGCGATACAAATTTTAAGGGAAATGAGGGTGCAATGAGGGAGAGAGAGATTGTGATGGGCCCCACCGGTGGAGGAGGCACAATTTGAAAAGAGCTTTGAGATGTTACAGGGTCTTTGACAAGCACAGGTGCTCAAGATGGAAATGTAGCCCTTCTGTGATAACTACATTTTCTAACCCTGAGCAGGTGTATATGTGGGGGAAGGGTGCCTAAGGATCTGTCAACTGAAAAATGGTGATGTTCATAAATCAGGCAATTTATTTCTCATAAAGGGCTGCAGCCTGCAGGGTGGCCACCCTGACAGGCTGGGAAGCAGAGCCTCCGGCCAGGCCAGCGCGGGCCAGCCTGACACTGTGAGGAAGGGACAAAGGGAACAGAAATTTATGCTGAGTGGGATGCCCAAATATACGTATTTAATAAGCTCTAGGAAGAGTCATGAATATCTATGGGAGGAGAAACATGCACGTGAGCGTTTTGAGCTTTATGCCCCTTCATGGGTCCCAGATACAAAAAATAGCAGCATTAACATGACCTGAGGGAGGAGTGGGCCCTCTGATGTCAAAAAGTGAAGCAGAGAGCACAAAAACATGTACTGTGGTGCATTCTTCATAGACTAGCCAGAACCATTCCCTGGCCAGTGGTCTCTTACCAGTCAAAAAAGGAGAGGTAGCATCTGGCAGTTTGTCAATATCAGTGGTGGAGTCCTTGGAAAAGACTTGTTTCTGTGAAGCCCTTGGAGAAGAAAGCCTAACTGTGGTTAGTAAGGGAGCGGGTAAAACAAGTGTCTGAGCCTCCATCCACCATGGCAGAGAACTCAGTTTTCAAGGTTACTCTGGGGTTCTCTTGGCTAGGAGATAGTCCATTTGGTCATTTGAGGGGCTTCAAATTTTATTTTTAGTTCACGGATTACTTGATTTAGTAGCCCAATTACATCAAAATTCTATCCCTGTCTCCTCTCTGCGGCCCTTGATCCAGTAGCTATATGGCTGCAGCTATTCCAGACATCATATCTAGACCCAACAGCTGATGAAAAAGAGCTACGGTCTCCTCTGGAAGTGCTTTCTTAGGAGACAGAAACCCCTGGAGATCTTTATCTCATTTCTTATTGTTGAGGCTGGAGTCACATGTCCCCTCCTGAATCAACCCTAGCAACAGGAAATGACATCATTGTCCTCAAACCCAACTGGCTCTTCTGTGGAGCTAGTGGTGGAATCTGCACCTCCTGAGGCAGGAGGCTGAGCAGGGAATGGATAGACACCTGAGCACAATTGAGGCTCTGACTGCAAGGAAGAAAGAGAAAATACGTGTTCTGTTTGCAACCAGTAGTATCTACTAATAGGCAAATTATGACCATTTGACTTGGAAATAGGAATATCCATTCTGTCATTGAGATCAGTGGTTCCCAAATTCAGCTTCCTCTGATTCAGTTCAAGACTCATGACAGAAGATGCTGACTCAGCAGGTCTGAGTGTAACTGAGCACAGCCTCGGCTGCTTGCTGCTTCCAAAGCCAATAACAAGGATGAAGTGCAGTGAAAGGAAAGTGACTTTAGTTCCAAAGCTAGCACTGGGAGTAGGGAAATGGCCAAGGCTCATGCTCTAAAGGAACCACTTCAAAAGTTTGGGCTGAGTACAGGGGTTTAAAAAGGGAACTTTGATATAGGAGGCATGCAGGGGTTGTGTGGGGGTATAGGGGATGTATGTCTTGTTTCAATGCCTATCTTGAGTTATGGTCCACCTGGAGCATAGGCTGGTGCCATCTCAACAATGGACAGCCTTTAGAGTGTCCAATCTTCAAGTGGGGGAGAATTCCACAATGGGGCTTTTACACCTGATTTGTTTCAAATTTGCCCGTGGAATTTCTTAACAAGCATAGAGTTAGATAAATGTGCATGGTATGAGTTTAACAAGCATACAGTTAGATAAATGTGCATGGGGTAAAAGAGTGTATGGTAGAAAAGGGAAGAGAGGGGAATTTCAAAGTAAATTTCAACGCTATGTGTTAAAACTAAGGGAAGAAAAGGTTTCTGTAATTTGCTTCCAGGTTTCATCTTGAGACTAGGGAGAAAGGAGAAAAAGAAGAAGAAAGAAGTTTAAGGATGTGTTTTGAAGCTAACCTTCTGGATTGCATGAGAAGGGCTCAGAAGTCTGCTGCCTGGGTCCATGCTCACTCAAGGGCTTTGTATGCTAACAGAATGATGTGGTGGAATGACTCAGCTCTCCTCACTGCCACTACTAACTGCAACGTGAACTCACTCAGCACACAACATGCATGAGCTGGTCTGTGCAGATACTGCACAGGTGCTGGGGCTGAAGCAGAGGCACTAATGGGCCTGGGTTTCCAGGGAAACTTATGCCCAGTGAGAAGTCCTTAGCCTCAATAAAATGAGATTCTACTAGAAGAGATTTATCAGTCAAGAATGGGTTTGAAAGCAAGTATCAAAAAGCCTGACACCAGTGCTTTGAATACAGAGGGATAGTCCTTATTTTACTTACCCCATAAATGTGGAAGGAGGACATGCAAAGCTGGTGCAGTTAGTCATAAGTGCCATCAAGCACCTGGGCACACTGACATCCAAGTGATCCCATGTAGCCGAGGAAGCATGGTCTCCCAGCAGGGCAGTGCCCAGAGGACAGAGTACAGTCCTTACTTGCCACTGTCCCCAGGGCGGGGCAGTGGGATCCTTTCCGCAGTGGCTATGTCCAGGTCACACCCCACTTCTTATCAACGTCTAAAGGAGCTTGATACCTTGATATTCTACAAACAGCAAAATGGCCAGGAATGTAGAACATCTCACCATGGACTAAAATATATGTAGCTTACTCTAGTATAATATAATATGAATATCAGCATGCATATATATGTGTTTAGGACTATGTATAGTGAGTTCAGTCATTAATTTTATTATGGTTTTAGAGGTTTAAGTTAAAGAAGCTCTCAAGCTATTAATTATATACCCCTACATAGATGTCTGGGCACATACAATAAATCACAACATGATTTTAGAATAAGCCTACCTCCTTCTATAGTAGTAAGGAACAGATTCAATTGCAAGCACAGCAAAACTCCAAATAAAAATAACTTAAATTTAAGACAGAATTTTTTTCTCTCACTCACTTAAACCTGGAAATAGACAGTCCAGATCTGGTATGTTTCCTCTACTTCCTAAAATCCTCAGGGACCCAGACTTGTTCTATTTTGTCACTTTATCAGCTCTGGGCCTTGATCCCAAAGGCGCTGCATGGTCCAATGTGGCTGCTCCAGCTCCAGTCATCGCATCACCAGCTCATTTCAGACAGCAAGAGCAAGGAAAGGAGAATAAGGTAATGCCCTTGTAAACCAAAAGTAACATTCTAAGCCCACCAACCAACTGATGGATCCCTCTCTCAGCTAAGGGCATTCCAAAGTAAACCTGAAAAGGTAGTTCAGGCCATGATGGGCAGTGGGAGTCAGGCATGCATCATTATACCCTCCTCCCTTTGGAATTCAGGCAGAACTGACCAGCATTATCATTAAAAGATATCTTAAGACTGACAAAACAGACTCTTTGTGGCAATAAGATACCAAATTCCAACCTAACTCTAGCATAACATCATATAACACAGAACAGGCCCTGAAAGAAATCACAGTATTTTACCCCAAAATACATTTCTTTGACATATTTTGCAATGGCCCTGCAAAGCTGTCTCTTGTGAAGAAAATGTGCATTCTGTAGAGAATCTCTTTCCCTTTCCAGGTCTTTTCCCTGATCCAGGAAAGAGTTAACCAAGAGTCTGGCCCCTTTTAGATCTGATAAGAGCACTGAAGCCTGCTACCTGGAGGCTTCATCATAAGAACCTTGATCTCCACACCCTCTTATCTTAACCCAGACACTCCTTTCTATTGCTTCCAGATTTTTAGATAATAACTTAACTCTTCCAACCAATTGCGAATCAGAAAATCTTTAAATCCATCTATGACCAGGAAGTCTCCCCTGCCCCCCGACCCCCTTCCCATTTCGAGCCAATGTACACCTTATATGTACTGATTGATGTTTGCCTGTAACTTCGGTTCTCTTAAATGGTACAATCAAGCTGTAAACCAACCACCTTGGGTACATGTTCTCAGGACCTCCTGGGGCTGTGTCATGGGTCATGGTCCTCACATTTGGCTCAGAATAAATCTCTTCAAATATTTTACAGAGTTTGACTCTTTACACTGGTACCCCAGCATTTTAAGGACCCTTTCCAGAAGTTTCCCACTACTCTTGTTGTAGCCCATTGGCTGAAATGCAATCATATAACCACACTAAGCTGTATGGGACAGGAGAGAATTAACTCTGGGTGAAACTGCCATTGCAAAATTATATCTGAGAAGGTGAAAAAGAGATCTGACCTAACCAACTCCATCTTGCTTCTAACCTCCAAGGTGCCCTTATTCATTCCTGGGTGTAGACTCAACTAACTTTGGGAGGAATTTAGTTTATAGTTTATAGCGTAAAACAAAGAAGATAACAGCCCTTTCCCAAAACAAACTCCCTTCTTGGCTCGGGACTAAACTGCCTTTGTAGAACTAACAAATTAGCCAAAAGATTATGGTTTAGGACTCATGCAGCTGGAGACTACAAGATTCTGACCCTTCTCAAATTGTTCCTGGGGATAACATCACTATTGTAAAGCCTCAGATCAGTGCTTGAGATACTTTGCAGATCCTGCACTTGGGGGATCAGCTGGCACCACCCAGGTCAATAAACGGGCTCATCTGATCTTGTGGGACCCTCCCAGGAACTGACTCAGTGTAAGACAGCTTCGACTACCTATGATTTCATCTCTGACCTGACCAGTCAGCACTCCTTACCCACTGGTTGCCCCCTACCCACCAAGTTATTCTTGAAACCGCCAATCCCCGAATGCTCAGGGAGACTGATATGAGTAATAATAAAACTCCCGTCTCCCATACAGCCAGCTCTGTGTGAATTACTCTGTCTCTATGCAATTCATCTGTCTTGATAAATCGGCTATGTCCAGGCAGTGGGCAAAGTGAGCCCGTTGGGCGGTTACATGGGTAGCCATATAGGCCAGGCTAAAATAGACAAGGACAGCTAGCAGGCTCAGCCTTCCCTCCTTGCTGAGGAATCACTGAGACCTCAAGCAAGAAGTGAGAAAGTCCAGTCCAGTCCTTTCAAGATCCTATTTCTCCTCAACCCGGGCCTGTGTCCCAGTGAATCTTCTCTGTGTTCTCTGGGACAAACCTGTCCCTGCAAGTAGGCACTGAAATGATATTTTCCTATATTTTCCAGAGAGAGGGGTGTGGGGGCTGTGGTATTTTTAAGTGACATGTTGCAGCCCCTACTTCACCATTAGAGGCATGCAGATTATAATGGATGGGCTGAGCTGGCTTGAAGGACCCTAGGAAGGGCAGACGCTGGTGACTTCTATTCCTAAATTAGCAGTGTAAAGTCAGTGCAATCCTGCCATTTAAGAGGATTTGCCTTTCTCGGTGCATCTCCCTAAAGTGAAAGCTGCAGGTGCTTATTATCAGGACTTGGCTTCCTGCTTTCGTTCTGTGCATTCTTTCTCTTTGCATAGTTTTAACAGTTGAGAAAGTGACATGGCCTGCTCTGGCATTTGACAGAAAGAGAGCAGATTCTAGGTCAGAGCACTTGAAAACGGCTCTCCCACTTTGCTGAAGCCTTGGGCTGTGACACTTGGCTGGCCCATACAATGAAATATGCCTTAACATCCTGTGAGTTTGATCTTCAATTAGTACCTGTGCATTATGTATCAATTATATGACCTCCTCCTAGCCCTCCCTTAGCTTTCTAGAATTAGCAGGGCAGACCTGGAATTCCACAGGGAACTAAAAAGGACACTGTCGCAAATAAGGAAATAGATCAAATTTCTAAGTTTAGCAGCGACTTCGCCTTCACACAGAGATTCCCAGAACGCCAAGCCTCGGTGCCAGTTTCTGCGGCCCGTGTCCTCTCCTTTGAAGTTCATGTACTACGCATAGCAAGGCTGGCAGCTCACACTATTTGTAGATGGGTGATAGAAACATTACCTATCCCTGCTTCCTTCTTGCTTTCCAACCACGAAATGGGGTGGGCTAGACCTCAGGGAGGCAGCTCCAGGAACTTCACCCCTGGCTCAGTTTCCAGAAATAATTGTAGTGAGCGCCCTAACCCCTCAGGGGCTGCATTCTAAATGGCTCCTAATATGCATGCCTGGGGCACAGATTCAGTCTCCTCCAGGCTGGAGGGGAGTGGAGAGTTCTGAATCCTAGCTCCTGTAAATTGATGTTAAGTTCTGTAAGAAAACCCTTTTTCCTCTCTATAATTTTTACCGGGCAAAGGAAAAACGCCCTAGTCATTCCATAAAGCCTAGATTTCCCCAAGAGATTTAAACTCTGTTTTGTTTGTTTGTTTGTTTTTCAGAGCACAGTTATTATGCTGCTGCATTTCTGTATAGAAATGCCTCACGGATCTATTTCTTGCATTTCCCAGGCTTATATGTTGATTCCCTGAAAACCATATCAAACAACTTTTACTTCAGCTCTTGCCACCAGAATTATTTCTTGGTATGTTAATCAGATTTTCTGAACCCTAAATCACGGCTCATTATCTAATGCATGTTCAGAAAATAAATGACTTAAATTATGACCGACCTTGAAAATCTGGTACATTTAGTTGACAAGTCCCTAGGTCCAGCTAGCCAAGTCCGTGTTTTTGGGTCGTCTGCCCTGTGGCATGAATAATAGCAACATTTATGTGCTTTCTATGTTCCAGGTACTGGGCTAAATGCTTCAAAGACACTCCTCAAAAGGGCTTTGACAGAAATGTTGTTCCTGGCTTGGGAGATGCAGTGCAGAATGGCTTTTCACATGCCATGGCCCATTCCCTTGCCTTCCTCCACCATAATGGAGGAGCAAGGAGAACAGCCTTCCCATCCTTCCTTGCAGCTGGGGATGACCATGTGACAGATTCTGACCAATGAGATACAAGCTGAAGTTTCTTCTCCTCTGGAGAAAATAACAAAGCCTTATTCAGAAGGATTGGTCTTGTCTGCCTTCTACCTGCCTGGAACTCAGACACAAAGCCCAGAGGAGCAGCATGAGGAAGAAAGTTCTTTAGAAAAGGAATTTAGAAAGAACCTGAGTCCTTGATCTCTCTCCTGAGCCATTCCACCAGCCCTGGACTTTAGACCCCCAGACACCTGGTTGTGTGAGATGAATATCATCCTTTTTAGTTAAGTTTGGTAGTTGAATGCTCCGTAACTTACAGCCATGTACTAGCAAATGCATAGCTCTTTGTCATGTAAGTGTCACAGGATCCTTCGGGCGTTGCCTTTCCAACCAGATACCTCTGTGGCCTTTACCCAAGTTTTGCTAGGGCCCACTGGACTCATTCTGCCCACTTAGCTTGGCAGGCTGCACCCAGCTCATGCTACCAGCCCAGATGCCATGCCTGCCAAGGGTGAGCCAGGTGGTGTGGTGCTGCAAGGGGTGTGTGAGTAAATGATCACAGGGTCTGGCCACTGTGCACAGCCAGGCACGTTGGCTGCGGCAGGGAAGGCAGCTCCAGGTGCAGGTGCCTGACTCCCTGAGAGGCTGCAGCTGGACCAGGTGTACCACAAGTGGCTTCCACTGCAGGCACTGGGGAACAGAGTGGCACCCGCAAGCTTGGAGATGCCAGGAACTGCAGAGCCCCAAAGAGGGTATTACAGCCCTGGCTCGGGGAGCTCCTAGGTCTGGGCTCCCCAAGGGGCTGCAGCTCTTCTCTCCTTCTCTCCCTTTTGCCCACAACATGGTGAGCAGGGGGTGTGTTTCAGCCCTGTTGTGTTGTTGTGTTACAGCTCTCTCAGTCCCGCCATTCAGCAGGTCATAAGTTCTTGTCTGACATCCAAGAAGAATGAGGTGTGCAGAGAACTGTACTGTGAGCAAGGTGAAGAAGTGCTTTATTGAATGACAGTACAGCTCTCAGGTGACCCAAAGTGGGTAGCTCCTATCTGCAGGCAGCTCATCCCGACAAGTGTGCAGCCCTCAGCAGAGAAGAGACCTGGAGTGGGTAGCTCCTTTCCTCAGGCAAGTCATCACAATGAGTGCAGCCCTCAGCAGATCAGCAGAGAGGAGACCCACAGTGGGTAGCTCCTATCTGCAGGCAGGTTGTCCCGACATCTCCCTGAGTCTGACTGAGTCCAGCTGAGTCCAAGGATTTTTATGGGTTCAGAAGGGAGAAAGTGCATGCTGATTGGTCTGTGGGTGGCCCAGAAAAAGCACCAGAGGTTTTCATTCCCGACTGTGGACTCCACATGGAATTGGCAGCCTAGCCCCCAGGCTTCAGGCCCTCCCTGTTTGAAGGTGGGCTTCACCAGAGACCTGCCCTTTTCTGCCCAGAAACCTGTCTGCCTCCTGCCACCATCTACATGTCACCCATGGTGCCCAGGCTGTTCATGCTGAGGAGTGCCTGCAGGCCCACACAAAACCACCCTCAACACCCCCTCGGCCTCCCTCCTGTGCTCCTCAGTGCCCAAAGTCCAGAGGGGGCTGAGGCAGCTGGGAGCTGGTGTATCAGCACTACCTCAAGTGCACACACACCTGGTCAGTGGTGACAGCACCCAGGCTCAGCCACAACTTTGCTCCAAAATTGGAGTGGGCGCCGGGAGTGGGGAGAGGCCAAGCAGTAGGAGCAGGCACTTCCAAGCCTGCGGGAGCAGGGGGCCTTCCCGGGTGCCCCAGAGCACAGGGATGCCCAGGTCCACAGCTGCAGCTGGGAGGCTGCAGCTATGCCCAGGAGGGTGAGGCTCCCACCCCTTCAACTCAGAAGAGGGCATGGCTCCCACCTGTTGCTGGCTCTGGATGGCTCCATGGAGTGCGCAGCCCTAGCTGTGCCTCCCCCATTGCAACCAGCGTCTTCACAGCGGCCACCCCAGATGGGCCACCCCTGCCATGATAAGGAGTCTAGGGCAACATAGGTTATGTCAGATAGGTTATGTCACTTGTTCAGTGCCACTCAGCCTACCAGTGGTAATGCTGGTGTACACTGAAGAAAATGACTTAGGTAAGTCTCAATCAGTTTAGAGGTTCATTTTGCCAAGGTTGGGAATGCGCCCAGGAAATGGAGACACAAGCCGCAGACAGTAGGACCTATGGCCTGCATTTTTTCCAAAGAGGAGTTTCAGGGCTTTAATATTTAAAGGGTAAAAAGTTGGCAGGAGAGGAAAGGAGGAAAGACAAAAAAGAGGGAGAGGATGGTCACATTCTTGTGAGATTTCGATTAGTGCTCACTGAATCTGCATATTGCATGTGAAAAGGAGAGGGTAAAGAAATAGTCAGTTATGCATTTGTCTCGTGCTCAGTAAATCTGTACTTTACATAGGATAAAGTCAACAGAGCAGAAGTAGAAGTTAAATATGAATTTGTCTTGGAGAGGGTGGTGTGGGAGATGATTTCCAGTCTCCTCTTGTCCCATGTCCATGAAGATAAGCTGTTAATTCACACTGTCAAGGTGAGGGAGGCCACCTGGAGAGACATGTGTCCTTTTATCTTGTAGCTGTCTATTTAGAAACAAAAGACCGATTTTTTGTGTGACTCAGCTTCCAAGCTTTCCTTTTCCCTTTGGTGTATTGAGTTTGGGGTCCCGGAATTTTATTTTCTTTTCACACTGACATCTGGGTGTGTCCAACGCCAGCATCTGCGCCTGAACAGCATGCTCTCTGCCTCTGTAAGAACTAGAAATCTGGAGTTATCAGGGGCGCAGAACACTTCTGCAGTCACTTCACCTGTTCTCTCTCGGTTTCCCAAGTAGTCCTGTAAGTTCAACTTCCCGTAAAGAAATCTGGTCCAGAATCTCATCAGGGTTGGCTGGGCTTACCTCCCTGTCTGTGTGAGCCTGGAAAGGCACATGCCCCAGTCCCAGCTAGGCCTAGGTGGGGCAGCCTCCCTGGTGTCTTTACCAGCCCTGTGGCATACACTTGTATATGGCCTTTCATGTAAATGTCTCTTTTCTAAAGGAGAACCCAGTTTTAGGTTCCCTTAAAAGAATTCTTAGCATGTTTCTAAAAACGCTTCAGGAATCCAGAGGGCAGCTGAACCCTTACTGATGATCTTCCTATGCCCCTGGAGTGAGCTGGCATATCCAGACCCACAGGGCCTTGTCTTTCCGGGCCTCATTAGGTAACTGGGCTGAGAGGCCCAACCCTTGGGGCTTCCTAACCTGTGAAGCTGGTCACCCAGTATTTACAACAGGAGGGTGGTGAGGCACCAGTTCTCAGTAATACAGAGTCTTCACTATGTGGACTCTCTGGAGAATATTTCAAAGCGTAATAGTAAGAGGAAATGCTCTTCTCCAGAGAAATCAGATAAATTTTATCTCATGAACACTGGGACTCATGAAATAGGTTATTGATGGGGTTCAGGACATGCTACCCCAGAATATGGCACCTTGGCATTTGAGGGAACAGCAGAAGCAGGAAAGTCCCTCTCACTGTCCCTCAACCCTTCTTCCCTGATGGATGTCATAAAACCCAGGAAAACCACTCTTCGACTTTCTCCTGCCCTTCTCCCCTGGAGGAGGTCAGAAAACCTTCATTTGAGAAGTGCCTTCCTTATACCCAGAGAAAAGGAACATCCTTATTTGTGAAGACACAGGGCTAGAGATGAGTCGGAACAAATAGGCCTTGCTAAGTTGTCCCTAGTTATCACCATTAGGTCATCTCCTTTGTCCAATTATACTTCTCCACAACTGTTCATTCTTTTTCAAAACTAAATATAAAAATAGACAAGTTCACCTGTTTCTTTGGATCTTCATTTCTGAAGGTTTCAATGTCATGAAAAACTTAAATACATTTGTATGCTTTTGTATTGTTAATCTGTCTTTTGTTATAGCCATGAACCTAACAATGGAAGAGGAAAAGAAATCTTTCTTCCCTGACATTATATATTCCTGATGTGACCTGCCTTAAAAAAACAAAACAAAACAAAACCCGGTAGCCAATTAGTATTTCACTTTAACAATTCTTTCTGCCCTATTTTCCTTTTATTATAATTTATTTGTAAAATTCTGTTATACATATATTTTTGGAGGCCACCTGAAATCTTTTCATGGGGAGGAGAATGGTATGTAAATAAATAAAAATTCACTCACCCAAGGACTTCACTGACTGCTCCTATCAGATGCTCCTTTTTCCATTGCCAACTTTCCTCAAACTTGGGATGGTCCCCTGGGACCACCCAAAATCTAATGGGTAGTGACAGCTTGTCCATCGCTCATACAGACTAAAAAAACCAACATCAGCTGAGAGTCCTCCTAGAAGAAGACATACGAGGCCTCCTGTCAAAAAGAAAGATGGACACAAGGTTTCTCAAATGTAATTAACTGTTTTGACAGGCAATTATTTTCCTCGTTCAATCTAACTGAAACATTCAGAGCCTGGCAGTCAGGGTTCCCAGGTCAGCATTTTTTCTTTTATCAGTGGGGTGCCTTTCTGACACCTGGTGACTCCAGCCACTGGGGTGAGGCGATTAGAATGGAGCTGGCAAGTTGTACCAGACAGGATTGCTGCAGTCTGAACCCTGAAGAGGCCAGCAGCATCACCACCTTTGCCAGGTAGGCCTGCCATTGAAGTACATTTTCAGAATGTATGCTTGTGACCCTGAGATTTTAATAGTGGATCTATATGTTAAATGGGGAAAAATAAAGAATAGAAATCTTGATCCAGTTATCATTATTGATTATTTCAAGAGTATCTCAACTTTCCGTTGATAATGGGAACCCAGTTCTTCCCACTATAATGATATTGCAGGCATTCTCTCTGCTTTTTTTCTTCCATGTGGTGGTTATTTAGGGACAAATGCTTTTAATCGTATTTTAAGATGCAATTTGTATTTCAGATTGATAAAACTCACCTTCAAGATGAAATATTGCTGAGAAACACTCCTTTTTCTTGGGCCAAACTTATTTTTACTTTCAATACTACGGTGGATTGTGCAAATGGTCATCAAGTCGTCTCCTCCCTGTTATCCACACCCTTGCACATAGCTTTGTAGCTCCTCCCATCCATAGGTGAAGTCTTCCTCCATCCCTATGTCTGGGTTGTCTGCTTGACCTTCTTTGGCCAATGGAACAGTAGAAAATGGGATGTAAGCCGAAACTGGGGAAGCACGTGTCCACTGGAACTTGTCCTATTGCTGTACTTGGAACCTTCCTGCACCACATGAGTCAGCCCAAGCTAGCCTACTGGATGAAGGTTGTCATGAATGTAGTCCCTTCATTCCTGTTGCTGGCCTATGGCAGCCCATGTGCAGAAACACAGCCTACAAGCTGAATGGTAGCAGACCACAGACATGTAAAGTGAGCCCAGCCAAGGTCAGCAAACAACCAGCCAGCTGAGCCCAACCCAAATTGGTAATCCACATTATGAGCTAATAGATGGCTATTGTTTAAACTACTAAGTTTTGGCATAGTTTATTACATAGAAAAAATTAACTGATTAAGATATCCGGCCTCGTGCATGGAAAGGAAAATTCCGGCAAGAATTTCTTAACCCCATGCTAAAGGATAGTCAGATAAGCCCTTGTCATTCAGGGGCTTATCTGATAGCACAGTGACTTAGAAGAGTTTTCATATTGGCTTTCAGTTCTGAACAAGTGCATACGATCTTTTGGGCTGGTTTACATTTTCTTTGGTGCAAAATTACATGTGACTGCAGTCTTCTTTAGCTCACATTAGTCCAAGAACTTATGGCAGAGACTGCTAATTTTCCTCCAGTATCCACTCTTCCCTTTGCAAAGACTGGAGCCAGACTGTCTGGTGATTCAAATCTCATTTCATTACTTATTACCTATGTAAACTTGGGCAAGTTATTCATGTCTCTGTGTCTGCCTTTCCTCATTTGTTAAATAGGAATAATAATGTATCTCCCTTGTAACATTGTTGTGATGATTAAAGGAGATAAAACAGAAAAAGCTAGCTATTTCACAGTAATTGATGTCTAAAAAATTCGATGATGTGAAATACAGGCCCATGTTTTTGCAAGGTTAATGAAATGACAGGGGTGAGAATGTGCAGAGAGCTGGCTGAGATTCCAAGTGACAGGGCTGTACAGTATAAATTCCTTCCTGTCCTGGCCACAATTTACCATTATGTGATGCCATCTGATAGCTCTATATCTTACATTTTAATGGGGACATTTAGGGTCCTGTGGATGGCTACATTTTTCAGGGTAGTAGCAGCAATTTAGAATCTTCCACTTAATTGGTGACTGTGTCATCAGCCTGATCCAGAGATATTGAGCAGGGATTATTTTATTTATTTATTTATTTATTTATTTATTTATTTATTTATTTATTTATTTGAGACAGAGTCTCACTCTGTCACCCAGACTGGAGTGCGATCTCAATTGACTGCAATCTCCACCTCCCGGGTTCAAGCAATTCTCCTGTCTCAGCCTCCTGAGTAGCTGGAATTACAGGCACATGCCACAATCCCCGGCTAATTTTTTGTATTTTTAGTAGAGATGGGGCTTCTCCGTGTTAGCCCGGATGGTCTTGATCTCCTGACCTCGTGACCCGCCTGCCTCAGCCTCCCAAAGTGCTGGGATTACAGGCGTGAGCCACCGCACCCTGCCGAGCAGGGATAATTTTAAGAATGCCAGGATTTGACCTCTGATCCCTGACTTCCAGAAATGGGGCTGACTACTATTTCCCTACTTAATCTATACCCCCTTCATGCCCTTACGAAAAAGGACAAATTCCTTTCTTCCCCCTTCACATATTCTAGTCCACGGTCTAATAGTGAACTACCTTCACCCATGCCGATGAGGGCTAACACCTTGAGAAATGGAAGACAAAGAAGATAAGAGGAGCTTGGGTCCCTGTGGAGCCTCGCAGAGCAAAGAGGAACTTTGCACCACCTATCAGTTTGGACTTTTACATGAGAGAAGTAAATCTCCATCTTATTTAAGCCATTGTTATTTTCATCTTTGTCAGCCAAACCAATATCCTAACACAGTACTGCTCTTATAACTAATGTCAGTTTTTTGAGTAAGTAGGGAGGCTAGATGCATTAGCTTTCTATTGCTGCTGTAATAATTTACCATACCTTAGTGGCTTAAAACAACTCACATTTATTATCTTTCAACTCTTGAGGGCAGAGGTCCTAAAATCAAGGCATTGACAGAGCTATGGTTCTCCTGGGACTTTAGGGGAGGAATCTGTTCCCTTGCCTTTTCCAGCTTGCAGAGGCTGCTCACATTCCTTGGCTCATGGCCCCTTCTCACATTGGTAAAGCCAGCAATGCCAGGTTGGGTACTCTCATCACATCACTCCAACTTTACTCCCATCATCACAGATCCCTCTGACCCTCCTCTTTTGCCTCCTTCTTCCATTTATATGAACTCTTGTGACTACATTGGGCCCACTCAGATAGTACAGAATAATCCCCCCATCTCAGGGTCATCAGATCCATAATTTTAGCTACATCTGCAGCCTTCATTCTCCTTTGCCATATCACCTAACAGATTCACTGATTCCAGGATGGGACATCTTTGGGGACCAGTATACTGTCTATCACTCTGAACAAACCATGCCCTTGTTCTGAGAACCACTTCTTCCTCATGTGCACTGAAGCCTGGAATTTTAATGTTGGAGAGCTATTCCTTTTTGTTAAAGTACTCTGAGGGAGATACGACTGAGCCTTTGAGACCCTTCAATTATTTAGCTCCTGTAATTCCGACTTTCATATTCTAAGGTAAATGAAAGAGAATTACAACCTGTACAAGTAAGTATAGATGAACTCGTATCTTCCTCCAAGATTCATAACCCTTCAGCCCCGGGACTTGTAGAGCTTATTTTTGTTTGTTGAGACTGTTGCAAGCTATTTACAAACTATGAGTCTTCAGCTCTCTTGAGCTAATATTAGGATTCAGGTCACATAACTGTCCACAGAAAGACACAAATTGAACCATGTTGCTTCTATTGAAATCCTAAGAATTCTAACTGCATTTTTTTAAAAAACTTTCTTTTACTATTTTTTTCTTAATTTCATGATAGGTATTAACTGCATCTTAAAACCTATAGTGTTTGCAAGTGAGACTGTTATTGTGAAAGAAGCATGCACTTTTGGGGCTAATAGATCTAAGTTGAAATCCCATCTCTATGATTCATTATTTGTGCAATCTTTTTCCAGTTATTTCAGCCTTCTCAACCTCAGTTTCTTCATCTGTAACATGTGTTTTTTACATACATTGTAGGGTGGTTCTGAGGACTATAGATAATATTTTAAAAACACTTCTAGTAGTTCATGTTTAGTAAGTAGTCGTGATTATTTATCCTCCAAGTATATATGCGCACTCAACAGAGTAGGCCCATCTTCCAAGCTGGCCTCTGTGAGGAATACAAAAGGTACAGAAGACACCTGCCATGTGAGGCAGTTGGGGCACTGTGATAAGAATTATCAATTAAAGCAAAAAAAAAAAAAAAGGGAGGCATATGATCTTGATCAGTTTTTTTTTTTTCTGGGCTTTAATGTCCTAATCTAAAAAATAACAACTAGATTAGATAAACCACAATGTTTCCTCCAGCAACGACTTTCCGTTGTGCTAAGAAGCACCCTCACTGTTGGTACGTATGACTAATCCATGAAATAAATAGGAATTTAACCAACTGAAAATGCTAGCTATGTAGGAAACCTCAGAGGCACAAGCCAAGAATGAAAAGTTGATCTGTCTAGTGCTAACCTCATAGCTGGAGCTGAGGACCTTGCAAATGACTTAACTGTCATTCAACCACATCACTTTTAGTGCCTCCTTTGGACTTGCACTGTATCCTGGGGCCAAAAGGCACTGTGAACTGGAACAAAATGGTAGGCAGCTGATTTAAGGAGAAATTGCACACAAAACACATAGGAGGCCGTCGCTTCAGCCACAAAAGTGCACCAAAGGGAAGCATTTAATACTGCCAACTGAGTGTGGAGCTAAATTATAGCCACTGGAATGCCATCGGTGCTGAGTTAGTCATCCAACACTAATGAAAATCTTCCATTTGTTCACAATATTTTCTGATATCTTTCGCTTTTTGTCCTTCTCTTTAGGAAATAATAGGACATTTTCAACTTGAGTGCTGTTGTATTTGAGGTTTTCTTTTAATGTACAATTTTCTACCAGATCACAGCAAGAGTAAATTATATGTCAACCAATGATTTCATAACAAAGGTAATTTCCATTTGATGAAAGGAACAAAAGGTGGCAATGTAGTCAAGAACATCCTTTTATGCAAAGTGACGGGCTCAAGTACAAAGCTTAGGAGGATCAAGCCCAGAAACAGCTACAAGAGACAGGCTGTGAATTTGAGGCTGCCTATAGTGACAGCTCCCTGAGAGGATGAGAAGGGCCAGGAAGAGGAACCTGGGGAGGCTGACCGACATTTCTTTGTGTAAGTACTAATGGGAAAGCTAGCAAACTCAAACTCCATGGAAAATAAGAGTCCATGCCTGATATACACAAATACAGAAGAGGTTGTCATACATGTGGAATTTCAACAGTTTGAGAATGCAGAGCGCTTAGTTGATAGAGATGCACAATAAACGTTAGCTGGCAAATAGTCCCTGTTTATTGAGTCAACCCAGTTGTGTTTTCTCTCAGTGTCCCATTGGGAGGCCCTGGAATCAGAAATTACCTGCCCAGCTGGGCGTGGTGGCTCACGCCTGTAATCCCAACACTTTGGGAGGCTGAGGCAGGCAGATCACTTGAGGTCAGGAGTTCAAGATCAGCCTGGCCAACATGGTGAAACCCTGTCTCTACTAAAAATACAAAAATTAGCTGGGCATGGCCGGGCACGGTGGCTCATTCCTGCAATCCCAGCAATTTGGGAGGCTGAGGTGGGTGGATCACGAGGTCAGGAGATCGAGACCATCCTGGTTAACACGGTGAAACCCCATCTCTACTAAAAACACAAAAAATTAGCCTGGTGTGGTGGCGGGCGCCTGTAGTCCCAGGTACTCGGGAGGCTGAGGCAGGAGAATGGCATGAACCTGGAGGCAGAGCTTGCAGTGAGCCGAGATTGCGCCACTGCACTCCAGCCTGGTCAACAGAGCAAGACTCCGTCTTAAAAAAAAAAAAAGAAAAAATTAGTTGGCCATGGTGGCAGGGGCCTGTAATCCCAGCTACTCAGGAGGCTGAGACACAACACAAGAATCGGTTGAACCAGGGGACAGAAGTTGCAGTGAGCCGAGATGGCACCACGCCACTCCAGCCTGGGCGACAGAGCAAGACCCTATCTCAAAAAAAAAAAAAAAGAAAAAGAAAAAGAAAAAGAAAAAGAAAAAAAGAAAGAAAGAAAAAAAGAAATTACCTGCCCAATATCTGGACAAAAATTTTGGAAAATAGGGAAACATCGCTTTTCAGAGTTTTGGCTAAGATCAATTGGAAAATAGGGAAACAAAGCAGCTTTTATGATTTTCCTTCTACATTTCATTCTCTATCTCTTATGGCAGCCAAAGATGGAGAGTTGATTAGAAACTATTTCTGAAGGGAAGATTAGCCTAAGAATTAAGTATAGAAACAACCTATATTTTCTTGGCTCTGGGCTTTTGCCTCTTCTATGACCCAAGTTATCCTTTTTCATTTTTACTGAAGTGTTTCCAAAAGGAGGTTTAGAAGCAGCTTAGCACATTTTAGAGTTTACATTGAAAATAATCACGTTTTCTTTTCGAGTTAGCAATGCCATTAGATTGTTGTAGGAGCAGAAAGCTTATAGCTTGCCCAAGGTTGTCATGAATCAACCAAATCGGCCTTTCGATTTCTAGCTTCTTCTTTCCCAGGTCCAACGGGGTACATTTTACAATGAAGTAATCATCTTTTTTGAGGCTATGTTTCTATTGAAACTTTAGATTATCTATGTGATTATAATTGTTCAAAAACTCTTAAAGAAAGATACACTTGGATAAGAGTGAAATCACATTTCGAAGATTTCCTTTGCACAGAGTCAATCACCAATAAATGTTTATTCAATGAAATAAAATTAGAAAGGAGAGCAAGAGAAAGCAAAGAAAATAAAGAAGAAGGAAGGAAAAGGGAGGGAAGGATAACGGGAGGGAGAAAGGAATAGAGGGAAGGAGGGAAGAACTAAGGAAACTGGGGTATTACCTCCCTAAATACAACCGTTTCTAATTACTGTTCAAAGTCATTTTAAGTAGCTTTAGTACTAAAGCCTTGTTCACTCCTTACCTGCAGCTATCCAAAAAGAAAGCACTGATTTTCCCTGCATGCCTTCCTTATTCACCTCCTTTCTTATCCTGTGCTCTTGATTATTATGAGCTGGGGTATGGGGAGAGGGCCATGCAAGTAGGGTTGCCAGATAAAATATAAGACAATGAGTTCAATTTGAACTTCTGATCAACAACAAATACTTTTTTTTAGCATAAGTTGACCCCAAATATTACATGGGGGCATATTTATACTAAAAAAGTATCTGCCAATTTTTTTTTTTTTTTTTTTGAGACAGAGTCTTGTTATGTCGCCCAGGCTGGAGTGCAGTGGCACGATCTCGGCTCACTGAAACCTCCGCCTCCTGGGTTCAAATGATTCTCCTGCCTCAGCCTCCCGAGTAGCTGGGATGACAGGCACGTGCCACCATTCCCAGCTAATTTTTTGTATTCTTAGTAGAGACGGGGTTTCACCATGTTGGTCAGGCTGGTATTGAATTCCTAGCCTCAGGTAATCCACCCACCTTGGCCTCCCAAAGTGCTGGGATTACAGGTGTGAGCCACTGTGCCCGGCCTCTGCCATTTATTGGAAATTCAAACTGAACTGGGCATCCTGTGTTTGGATTTACTGTCTGGCAGCTCTGCTTTCAGGCTTTGCACTTCATGCGGCTGCAGTCAGGGTCGCCCTTGAGATTCTCATCTGGAGCTTTTGGGCGGTCAGCGCCCAACCCTCAGACTCTGAAGGGGCTCCCCACATCCCCTGAGGTTCTGCAACCCTGGCAAAGTTTCTTCCAATCTGGGGAAAGAATCTTTCCTTTCTACCACCCTGCTTTTCCTGCAGAATTTCCTGCCCTTTAAAATTAGCATTTGTATATGAGTTGCATCTCATTAAATTACATAATGATACACATAAATCATCACGGCTGGACTTTTTTTTAACGTCGTGCTTTTTGTTTCTCTCCCCCATAATCTGAATTGGAACACACAAATAAAGGTGTTTGGGCCTTTAAAGAAATATAGAGTGTCTCCTTTCTGGTGTCTTTCCACTTGGAGGTGCCTAGCAGCTCTCTGCTCTACCCTGCAGCAGCCTCTAAGGATAGTTTCCACACAGCCCAAAACACCCGTAGTTGCATAGCCTCAAAACGAGAGGAGAGAGTATCATACTCAGAGGCCCCCATGCTCTTAACTCCCGTGTGGAGGGCTGGACCAGAGCCTGCAAGACAACTAGGCTCATCACTTTGCTGTCTTAGAGGGAATGAATTATTGAGACATTTCATTGCTTTTTGCCAACTTAATGTCTACATAACCTACTCATTAAAAATAACAAGATTGAAACAGTCAATAATTTGGTAACATTTAGGAATCAAGAACTACACGCACATGCACACGCACACACCCACAGACATATATGCATCTGTATGACTTGCTTCTGAGATGGTTCTTTCAACAGACAAAGAGATGATAAGAACTTGAGGAAGCCACACAGCACCCTGCAGAGGGACACTCGGGTGTGGACGATATCCACAAAGTTACAGTCACTGGCACGTAGGGAATTCTTGACAATAAAAATTAGAGATGATTAAATGAAATGGTTTAGTGATGATGTCTTTGCAAATGGTGATGCAGAAAAAGCAGATATCCTTGAGCTCTATCATAGCAAGTGCTGAGTCAGCCTGGAGAGAATCAGAAAAGTAGATGGAGCCCATCTGAGATGTCCCTGGAGCCAATCCCCCGAGTGAACTACTAACAAGAGAAGTGTTAGGAGGCAGAGAAGGAGGCTGTGCGGAAGAAAGAGCAGCACAACCTCCACAGTGGGGAGCCAGTCTAGACCACAGCGAGGGGAGTGGGGAGGGCATGGCTTCACTGCACTTTGCCCCACCAGCCACACAGGATAGGTGGCCTTTGCTATAGTCACTAAACTTTGGCTGGTGCAAGACAAACCAAGGTGCTAGAGGGAAGAGAGTGACACCTGTAGAGTGATCCGAGGCTTGGGAGGCCAACCCACATCCACCTTTTGGATCTACTACTTCCTAGCACTGAATGAAATCTGCAGGGTAGTTGAAGGGAACTGGTGAAATAAAAGTGACAGACAACAAACAAATAAAACCTGTTGGCATCCATTCAGTCAGAGGAGCCAGGTTTCCAAACTTAAGAATGATTTGGAGGAAAAAGAGCATCCAGAGAGAGAGAAGCTGGTAAGCAGAGCTCTGTGGTTTCAAGCTCTTTGTCCTCGGACAATGTTGCTTAACTTGCAAAGCCTCGGAATCCTCACTTGCCAACAAGCTGATGAGGCTGACAACCTGCTTATTGGGAAGATTGAGTGAGGTCATGAAAGTAAAGCCCTTAGCTTACTTAGTGCCTGGCCTCTAGGAAACTCTGAGCAAAGGGGATTATGATTATGATTGTTACATAACCTAGCTGGGGCAGGGCCCTTCATTTCCCATCTCCATGCAGGTAATTTAGTACTCTGTGGGAAACTATCAGGTAGAGCATTGTGCAAGTTACACATTGATTCATTGAGCTGAAAATGGGGCTGAAGTCCAGCCAACCCACCCCTCTCCCAGGGTTTGTCATTTTCCCAGAGGGGCATCATTTTCTCAGTTTGCACAATGGCATTACATGGGTTAGTGGAGGCCCTGGAATGAGGGCAGACTTGACCACTGCATAATGCTTTTTTGGGAGAGGAATATGTTTTTACCCCCAAGCCCAGCCAAGGTTCTCTAGAATAAAGATGACTATGAGTGCTTATCCTCTTCCTTGGTGCCTCTGGCTTTATCAGTCTCCCTGGCATGGCTGTGACCTCCTATTACACCCTCAGGATCACAAATACCCAGGTGACTACAATGGAGGTAATTCAAAATGGTCAATCTCCAAGCAGAGGTTGTAACTTGGACAAATGTAGTTGTCCCCTTATGCCACATGACAGCAGGAACCCACCACAGACTGAGTTCAGAATGGAGGGCACTCCTTGAATCTGTCTCTCTTTCTTTTTTCCATGTTACATTCTTTTACTTTTCTTTTCTTTTTTAGAGACAGTCTCACTCTGTCACCCAGGCTGGAGTGCAATGACACAATCAAGGCTCACTGCAGCCTTGAACTCCTGGGCTCAAGCGATCCTCCTGTATCAGCCTCCTGAGTAGCTTGGATTACAGCGCATCACCATGCCCGGCTAATTTTTTTAATTTTTGGTAGAGACAGAGGTCTCGCTATGTTGCCCAGACTGGTCTCAAACTCCTGGTCTGAAGCAGTCCTCCCTAGCTTCCTAAAGCCCTAGGATTACAGGCATGAACCACCAAGCCCAGGCAACTACATCCTTTTTTCTACAGCCCTTTCTTTCAAGTCCCTGAGGCTAGTGGCTTCAGCCCTTCCCTCAGCAAATTCCACTCTTTCCTAAAAGTTGGGGGGGATTCTGAAGCTCATTCCAAAGCCCTGAGCCCCAGGCTTGATCCACATAATTCTCTCCCCTTTCAGGCATTCTGTACTAGGAGAGGGAGAGGGAGAGGAAGAAGGGTCTAGTCTTAGGAGTTGGAGCAAAGGTACCAATTCTTTTCAAATCTGCCTCCTGACCAGCGAGTCTGGAGGCTGATTTTCTTACCAGTCTAAGAAGCCAGCACATGCCACCAAGGCCTGCATTAATTCTCTCTGGGAGAGAGCACAGTCTAATTTCACAGTGGGGAAAGAATGCTTCTGTAATTCTTGTAGATGGGACCTTGCCCCTTGTGAAACAAAGACCCCAGCATTATTGGGCTAAGAAGCACTTGACTCTTTCCCAGAACTGGCTTCCACTCCGAGAGAGTGCATTAGCTGAAATGACTTTCTATCTTTTTGCCATCCTGGCTGAGTGGCTCTGGGCTCATAAGAGATGATATGTTTTTAATTCCATAATATTCTTCCTAGTTGATGAGTTTTTAATTTTTTTCAATCTAGCTTACTCTACTGCTATGATTAACAACAGTCTGTTGCTAGCCTACAGTCTATATACTGAGATTGCCCAGAAAGAATTAAAATTCTTCTTTGCCCAACAGTATTATAGTGATCACCCCAGGTAAGGGGTCTTAGGTTCCATTTGTAAAATAGAGCAGAAAACTACCTCCTTTCCATCTTTCACGACATCAACTCATGAGGATGAGTAGATGGAGATTTAGGGAATCCTTAGAAGGCAATGGACATGTAAAGAATTATGGTGATTAAGCTAAAACAAGCATGAAGAACATGTACTCCACTCATGTGATGTTATTAATGACACACCAGTAGAGCAGTGGCTGGGCCAATGTATGTGCTCACAGATGAATCAGGTCTGACTTTATAACAATTTTGCAGAGAGACCTGGAATGCAGTGTATGTTGGATGAGGAGAGGAAGCTTCCTCAGGGGTTAGAGGGTGTCATTGTGGTAGACTGCTACTTCAGGGATTCCAGTGAGCCCACATTCCAATAATCTTACCTCTATAGAGCTTCCTCCCACCCAGACTGTCACTAGCTTTGGCCAATGGGTGTCAGGAAGCACATAACAAGCCAAGCCTTGAGTTCACCTATTCTGCTGTAAGGAAGCCTGGATCATCATGTGGAGAAGGCTGCGTGGAGAAACACCCAAGCCTTTGGCCATGGCCCCACCTCAGCTCCCAGATGGTGGCTGCTGGCTCATGCTGGGCTGGGGCCATGCGTCTCTGTCCCAGTACCCTAGTGGATATCACATGGGGCAGAACTGCCTGGTCAACTCGTACAGTCATGAGAAATGTAAGTGGTTGTTTTAGGGTGGGCTTTTTTTGTTTTTTTCTGAAGTTATCGATGACTGAAGCACTCTTCTAATTCAATTCAATTACTATTTCTTCAGTGTTTACTTTGTGCAAGGCATGACTCTAGGAACTGCATGCCAACTCCCAGCAGAGGTGCCAGGCAATGAAGAACAGACAAAAATAGGGAAATATGGAGGGCTCAGATGGAGTGCCACCTAAGTCCCTGGCCCATCTAAAGGAGCAGATACAATGACCAGCCGAAGCCTCAAAGATAAAGATCTGCAGCTACAAATGGGCCATTTCTTGGGCATCAAACTAGAAGTAGAAGCAGTTTTAAAGTGGGAGCAAAGCCCAAGGCAGGGTGTTAACACCAGAATTTAAGGATAATTTTAAGGAAACTTGATGAGGCTGACAGGAGAGTCAGTCAAGATGCACACCCCTAGTGAGGCAATGTGAGCTCAGCATTGACCAGGACATCTGAGAAGCCTAAAGCTGCTTGGACTCAAGTTGTAGCTTCCTTTTGGCCATTGCTATGCTGGTGCAGCTGCACTGGGCAACGTTTCAGTTGCTAGTGGGTGCAGCTTAGGGAGAAGTAGAAAAGTGTGGAGTGACCCCTCAACATTGAGGGAACTCAAGGCAGAAAGATGCTGAATTGTCCATCTTTCAAAAGGGCATTAATTATACTGCTTAAGGATCTATAGGGAAACCCACTATATAAGAAGAGCTGGCTGTGGTTCCCATTCATTCATTTCAATCAATCAGCATGTATGATTGGAAGCCCACTATATGCCAGGTGTTTGTTCTAGGCTCTGGGCATACAGTGGCAAAAAGAAGATGCATTCTCTTCTTCCCATAGACCTTACATTCTGTGGGAAAGGCAGATAATAAACTTTGAATCAAGCATCTAATGTAATGTCAGATAGTGAATGTGCTTATAGAGGCAAATGAAGCAGCGTAAACAGGTAGACAGTAACAAGGAACTATTTGAGGTTCGACAGAAGGCTTTTCCAAAGTGCTGAGATTTGAGCAGAGAGAGAGTTAGCCATACAAATATGAGGGGGTGAGGGGTAGGAAGGAAGAAACAGTAACGCAAAGGCCCTGAGGACACCATGACTTTGTGCGTCCTTGAAGAACAGCAAAGAGGTCAGAGTGGATGGTGTGGAGTGGGCAAGAAGATGACATATAGGATCTGGGGTAGAAGAGACAACCAGCCCATGTAAGTCCTGGTAAGAATTTGGAGGGAAAAATCAGTGTATTGGAAGGCATTGCAGAATACCAAATAAAGGAGAGACATGCCTTATTCTATTTTTTAAAAGAAATGCTTTGGCTGCTGTCAGATATGGGACTATAATGGGGTGGGAGGAGGCAGAAATGAAAGCAGACAGATTGTCAGGTGGCTGTTTGACCTGTTTGATGGCTTGGACTAACGGGTGGTGGAAAGGGTGGTATATTTTAGATGGAGATGACAATACATGCTGATGGGTTGGATATTGGGGATAAAAGGTGGGCATGCAAGAAGAGAGGGGAATTAAGACCAATTGATCGAGATGCCAAGGGTTTAGGCCTGAGTGTCTGATGGTATCTTCCACTGGAGTGAAGAAGATGGGCTGGGAAGAAAGATGGGGCATCATCAGTGTTTAACGGGTCAAGTTTGAGATGTCTACTCAACATCCAAGTGAGTTTGAATGAACGCTTAGATGTAAGATTCTGGAACTCTAGAAAGGTCTTTGCCAGAGAAATAACTTTGACATTCCTGAGTGAATAGATGGTATTTACAGCTATGATGAAGAAAGAGGATTTAGAGTATAGAAAGAAAAGAGAGACAGGCCTAAGACTGTGATATTCCCAGGTCAGGAAGATGAGAAGGAACCTGCAAAGGGTCTGAGAAGTAGCTACCAGTGAGGTGGGAGGAGAACCAAGATCAAGCAGCCTCCCAGGAAGTTGAGAGAAGTGGGTGGTTGCTGTGTTCAACAGCACTGAGACGCAGAGAAGAACAGGATTGGGAAACGTGGAGGTCATTGGCAATCTTGATACCAGGGTTTCCTTGAAGTGATGGGTCTGGGAAGTCTGGCTGGAGTGGGTTCAGGGGAAAAGTGAACTTCTCCTCAAAGGCATTAACTATCAGAGAGAGCAGAGAAATGAACCAATAACTGGGGTACAAGGACATAATTTTACTTAACAGGGAAGATATTTCAGGAAATTTCTATAATAGGAATGATCTATCAGAAAAGAAGCAATGACCAAGAAACAGGAAGGGAAACTTATGGAACAAATGGAGGAGTTGTCTTTTCAGATAAAAGCATACACCATTCACTCAAGTAACTTAACCTCCTCATGCCTCAGTTTCCTTACCTGAGAAGTAGAAATGATCATTGTATCTATTACACAAGGTTTGATGAGGATTAAGTGCATTAATGCATATAAAACACTTAGAACTGTATGTGGACTAGGAAACAATGAATAAATGTTAGCTCTTTTTTTTCTTATTGTCATCCACTGTAACAATACAGTGAAAGGAAAACACGTATCCTGTGGAACCACAGGATACATATGGATTTGGTGATGAGTGAATGAAGACATTTTCTCCTGTGAGCTTCTACTTTCTTAAAGTGAGATCATCACGGAGAGGAGGGGTGGCATGGCCAGGACAGTGTAGTAGGATCTCGAGGCATGATGAGGACCTCCTGGGGCTCTGTGTTCATAATGTTAAAGCAAGATCCATCAGCATGTCCTTGTGTTGTTTTGCAGCTACAGTCAGGGGCTCAGATGCAGGGGTTGGGGAAGTGGAGAGGCAGAATTAACTACATTTGGGGTTTTGACTAGTGAGTGTGACAGGGGAAGAGAAATTATAATAATGGGCCATGAAATCTAAACTAGATGGGAGGGAAGTGACGCTATTAGGAGAGATCCGGACAGACAGTGGTCTGAAGGACCAAAGGATCAGAGGTCCCAGCAAAGCAAAGAATTTTTGGAGTGAGAACCTAGGACAGGTGAGCCTAAAAGTGAGAGAGGCTCTGGTTAGAGAATGAAATGTTGGAAATCAAGGTTTTAGAGCTGATCTGGTCTGAATAATGACAAGACAGACTATGACCATGAGATGGGAGGCTGGGATGGGGCAGAATTAAGGAGGGGAAGGATCTCAGGGGCTCGGGGTTTGGGATGCTTGTCGATGTGAACGTTGATGTTGCCAAGAAGCAGACAGGAATTGAGGGAGAGCGAAGGCAGTGGGATAGGTATAAGATCATTAATGCATTAGGGTGCATGGCTGCAAGTTGAATGACTGAAAAAAGGAGGAGTAGTGGCAGACAGCATAATCAGATGGCATTTTCTTCAAGGATCTGGGCTGTTTCCTGTTTTGTTTTGTTTGCTTTTGTTTTCCAGTGGAGAGAAGAAATGGTCTGCAAGGAGCAATGAGGAACAAGAAGGCACTTGTGTCACTCCAGGTCCAAGTGCATGGAGTATGGGAGAAACAAAGCAAGCTACAGTTTAAGAGGGCTGAAGAGGAAGCGGAGTCCTCTGGGGGCGCTGTGTTTCAGTTGCAGCAAGAAACAGGAGAGAGATGGCGATGCAATATTGTTAACCATGGGCATCTATAGTTCACAATATACTGAGCACCAGAACTTATTCCTCTTATCTAACTATAACTTTGTACCCATTAACAAATCTCTCCCCATCCTTCCTTTTAATGTTCTCATCATAAGAAAATGATAAATGTTTAAGGTGATGAATATGCTGAATACTCTGATTTGATCATTACACAATTTATACATGTATGGAAAATGACACTATACCCCATAGTATAGTTATTATATGCCAATTATAAACAAAATAAAGACTAAAAAAGGAGAAAGCAACGGGAGAGAGCTTTTATTGAAGCAGTTAAGAATATAGAGGATTTAAGCCAGGCGCGGTGGCTCACACTTGTAATCCCAGCACTTTGGGAGGCCAAGGCGGGTGGATCATGAGGTCAGATCGAGACCATCCTGGCTAACACGGTGAAACCCCATCTCTACTAAAAATACAAAAAAAAAAAAAAAAATTAGCCAGGCGTGGTGGCAGGCGCCTGTAGTCCCAGCTACTCGGGAGGCTGAGGCAGGAGAATGGCATGAACCTGGGAGGCGGAGCTTGCAGTGAGCCGAGATTTCGCCACTGCACTCCAGCCTGGGCGACAGAGCGAGACTCCATCTCAAAAAAAAAAAAAAAAAAGAATATAGAAGATTTAAACTGATAACAAACCAATACTTTTATAGAGCTCAGCGCAGAGGTTTAGAGGATTGAAGAGAGCTGGGAACTTGGGTCAGATTAAGGGATGTGCAAAGAAGCCATATGGAGACAAAAGTCTAAGTGTTGTTGGAAGACCCTGGAGGCTTGGACTTTGCGTGGGAAATGAGGTTAACAGGGACACAGGACATTAGGAGAAAGGTGCAGCTGGTTTCTTAGGGAGGGAATGGGAAGGTCCTCTGGAGCCCGCCATTTGCCTTTTTAAAGCACCTAACAAGATACCCTGCAAATCTGCCCAAGCATCCTGGAGCTCAAGCATATAAGTATCAGCTGCAATTACCAGGTGACCAGGGGAAGAACCAAACAGAGCCAAAGACAATCACTAGAGACAAGAGAGTTGGAAGTGAAATGTGGGTCGGCAGAAGCTGAAATCAAATTATCACTCAGGTAGGTGGTGCAACACCTTGCTACTGAATGTCCACTTAGTCCATTCATTTTGGGCCATCAGACCCTGGGCACAAAAGTACTGGCTGATGTCAGTTGGAAGTCCAGGAGACAGGAGAATTCTCTGATGAAAGAGCTGTTAAACTGACTGTGGCTGAGGCCCCTCCTACTCATTCATTCATTCACAATCATGGAAAAAATGAGCCATCTTTGTTAAGGTATCCTTTGGAATTAAGTTTGCACAATGGTCTTGTAATGGGCAGAGCATTCACTAAAGTTTATGGCAATGACATCCCAGGATGTAACAGTGAGTTTTGTCTGAAGTAGAGTATAAAGGAAAGTTACTAAGCAGAAACTAGGCATTAGGGCCAAACCCTTCTACATTCCCCCAGTCTTCAATTCCTGATCAGGCATAACACACATCCCTATTAAGGCTGGAGAGAGATTCTAATTGCCAGGATTCTGCATCAAAATGCCAGTTTGGAGACAAGCTGCCCCCAGATTGTGTAGAATTGACAAGCTGCAGCCTGCTTGCCATTTGGGAACCCAAGGTGCCGGATCCTTCCTGGAGCTCCCTGGACTCTGGGGACAAGGGAGGATGACTATTTCCAGGGGGTCCCACACGGCTGGTCAGGAAGGAATTCTAATGACTGACCAGGCTTGACTCTCAGGCTTTAGGACCCAGATGGAGCTGGACCTCCAGGTGAAAACATCATTTCAGGCCCTTGGTCCAGGCTGTGGTAGGTGGATGCTGCAGACGGAGCCCTTCTCAGATGAAGAAAACATGTTTATCCAGTAAAAAAAAGTAGGAGAGTTTAGGGTGTGTTTGGAAGAAAGGCAGGGAGTATAGTTATGTAGCCCACTAGGTCTATGAAGGAAGATATAAGTCTGGATTTGATTCCGACAGCTTGGACCTTGTGACATTTCTATTTGTAATTATTACACTCTCTGATTTTCTTCCTGGTGTGAGAGGAGTCCGGGTAGGCACTGGGAGGAAAAGTGTTAAGTAGGTTCAGTTTCAGCTGTGAAGTTAATTTTCAGGTCCACTGAACAGATCTCACAACAGTGCTGTTTCTTTAGTAGTGCGGTGTGCTTGGAACTGACATAAATCACCCTTGGTGCCATGTTTACACCCATTCTGAACCAGGGCAGAGTGGGATCCCTCTTTTTATCCATGGTGAGGTCTGAATGGCAGTAGGTTCTTGGCTTTTTTTCAGAGCCAGGATGACATAGACTCAGGAACTATCATTAGATGGGGAGCAAAATGGCAGAGAATGTAGAAATGTAAGGAAAGGCAAAAGGAGAAGAAGTAAGTGACTAAAGGTTTTCAAGCTATTTTTAGCAGCAGAATTCTTTTTCCCCAGTGAAATCTTAGGCAGAAGCTCTGTTAGTACATCTGCATTGCTATGAAGGAATATCTGAGGCTGGGTAATTTATAAAGAAAAGAGGTTTGTTTGGCTCACGGTTCAGCATGCCATAGAGGTAGCATGGTGCCAGCATCCACTTCCGCGGAGGGCTTCAGGCTGCTTCCACTCATGGTGGAAAGCAAAGGGGAGGCACGTGCAGAGATCACATGATGAGAGAGAGAGGAAGTGAGAGAGAAGTAGGGGGGAAGGTGCCAGGCTCTTTTTAACAAGCAGCTCTCATAGGAACTAATAGAGCGAGAAATCACTCATGACCTTGGGGATGGCACCAAGTCATTCAGGAAGGATCTGCCCCTACGGACCGAAACGTTTCCCACCAGGCCCCACCTCCAACATGGTGGATCGAATTTCAAGATCCTTGGAGGAGACAAATATCCAAACTATATTAGGAACCCAGTACTGGGTGGATGAAGACAGTAGCTCTGCCCCCTCCCCGAGCCCAGTAAACCCCTACTGTCACTCAGGCAGCAGCCTCAGAGGGGTCTCAGTCCACCCATGGCATTGTCAACACCCCACTGATTTTCCTCTCAGTGACCAGAGGAAAACTTTTAGAATTTTAAGCTTTGAAATCCTATGATTTTTTTCAGCCTTAAACCAAAAGGAAATTCTGACACATGCTATAAC
Organism: Homo sapiens; assembly: GCF_000001405.40. NCBI lineage: Eukaryota > Metazoa > Chordata > Mammalia > Primates > Hominidae > Homo > Homo sapiens. The sequence goes on along the minus strand of NC_000001.11, from coordinate 232,877,354 downwards.
GTGGATGAACCTTGAGGACATTACGCAAAGTGAAATAAGCCAGTCATAAAAAGACAAATCCTGTATGATTCTACTAATATGAGGTCTAGAGTAGTCAGGTTCATAGAGACAGAAAGTAGAATGGTGGCCTGTGGGAGGGGGAATGGGGAGTTGGTCTTAAATGGGTATGAGTTTCTGTTCGGGATGATGAATGAGTTCTGGAGATGGATGGTGCTGATGGTCGCAGCACAATGTGAATGAACTTAATGCCACTGAACTGTACACCAAAAAATAATTAATGTGGTAAATTCTGCGGCATGTATATTTTCCCATCGTAGAATAAGGCAAAATTCTACAATTAAGAGCTGGGGAAAAACATGCAGGAGAAACAGCCACAGTATCACTTGAGGTTTTCCTTCCAGTGACATTTTCAAAACTGAAACTGACGCCCCAGGCAATCATCTTTTTGCTGAAGATGCCCAGCCTCCTCTAAACCTTCCAGAATAGCCTGGTTGAAAACAAAAACAGAGAAAACTCTAAGTACCGTGTGTGATGAGACCCACGAACACCGCAGTTCATCCATTTGTTCTCTGTATCCTGCCCTTGTGGCTCCTCCCCCTGAACCAAGCCATACACAGACTCAACAAGTTGCCCATTTACTGATCCCTGGGATTAACCTCCATGTTTTCATCTTAACTTGGCTTCAAGACACTTTCAAAAAAGGTAGGAAGAAAGTGACTGAAGGGGGGAGTATATGAAAAATATATGCTTGAGTTCCCCAAAAAATACTACCTGAGGCCAGAGTTAACATGCAACTGTCGTACTAGGCATTCTCCTACCAGGATGCAGGAAAGAGCAAAGGGAAAGATGGGGAGCCCCTAGCAGGATGCACTACCAACCAACCTCTACTGACTACTCGGTCACACGAGGCCATCTTTTCAGAGGCTATAAGGCTAAATATGTCTCAGAGCAATGGGTCCCGAAGACAGAAAGGCGGGAAGAATTCATCCTTTGGCTGTTGTTTCCTGTTGGTCATAAATTGTTCTGCAGAGTGTCCCCCACACTTTAGGTTGAGCATGTGTGGTCACCTTGTGGGTCATGCAACAGCTCATGTCTCAGCATCAACTGGGAAGGAGACACAGGGCATAGGCTCCAGGCATGAGTGAGCCACGGTGGGGCTGTGCTGACTGGAGTTGGTCACAGCCTGTGCAGAGCTGGTCACCACGTGGTGACTGGTTCAGAAAGAGGCCAAAGACACAATTCAGCAACGGAGTTACTTTTCCCCAGTGAAATCTTAGGCAGAAGCTGTCTTAGTACCTTTGCATGGCTATGAAGGAATGTCTGAAGCTGGGTAACTTATAAAGAAAAGAGGTTTGTTTGGCTCACGGTTCTGCAGGTAGAAGACACCAGAGGTGGGTGAAACCAAGGCATCCGAAGTGACCCGGGAAAGGTGTATGGTACACACTGGGAAAAATCGACTACAGAAGGAGCAAGTTCACACTCAAAGAAGTTCCAGGCCCCAAACCGCCATGAAGATCAGAGGAGGGAGAGGTCAATTAGGCCTGGATGATGATGAGGGAAGGTTTCCAGAAGAGGAAAGAGAAGGCATCCAGCCTGCATTGTGTGCCAGACTTATTACAGATGTCAAGGGATTTGAAGTAGGCCCCAAAGCATGAAGAGAATTTTGGCAGATTGTCCTCTTTATTAAAGCAAACGTGCATGTAATTTTGTTGTCAGTATTCGTTTGTTTTGTGAAAGGCTTTTTTCATAAAATATAAGCCACAATAAAACTCAGCTGAGCCCAGATAGACTTATCAGATATTCCAATGTAGTGAAATCTGAATTACATATGAACATGGTGCTCGGTCATCAGGATGCAGGGGAGCCCAGGGGACCAGGAGGTTGATGGCGGTGACTGAGCCAGGTGGAGTTGGGCTAGGAAGGAATCACTAGGGAGGCGAATGCTGGGCTGTGTCCAAATAGGGAAGGATGGGGATTGGGCAAGGGGAGGCTTGGGGGACAGCCATTTGACATGGAGAAAATGACCCTGAAAAGAGGTGATGCTACAGATCCTCTTCTGCCGAGGGTAACTAATCGTTTTCTCTTTAAAATGACTCTTCAGGGAATCTTCAGGTAGAGTGATTGGTAAACTAGAAACCAGATGAATAACAATATTTCAGGCCAAGCAACTTTATTTTAGTGTTATGCTTGTCCTTTTTAGCACCCAACATGCCTGTCAATGGCTCCCAGCCCCTCTTTCTCCAGCTCAGGGAGACTCCAGGGAACTTATGAGCTAGAAGCAAACCAAATTGACTAACCATTTGAATTTCTCAAAGGAACTCCAAGCCTAAACCCAGGCCAGATCTGTTCCACAGAACACTAAGGGAATTAGGCACACCAGCATTATGTATGCACAGTCCTTAGTGACAAGTGAGACTCCAGGGTCCCAGGGAACCAGCCACGTCTAGGCCCAAGAGAGTGAGAGGAGTAACCACTGAGTTTCTCTCCGGACAAAGTTGTGAAGAAGGCAGGGCTCATTCTAGTGATCCCTTGACCACTTTGCTGAGCCTCCTCCTAGCCTGACCAACCACCCCTATAGAGCAGGGACTTTCCTGTATTTAGCACTGAAAGTTCTGCATTCCAGGAACCCCTCAGATCCCGGAAAACTGGGACAGTTGGCCACCCTACCTCCTCCTGAATTCCAGAAGCCCTTCTTCTGTGAGCTCAGAAACGTGCCCTCCCCAGGTGTCTCAGGGCCCCTGCCTGGCAGAACTTTTGCCCTGGACATTCTCACAATGCCCACCTCTATCAAAACACACCTGTCTTCTATGCCATTTAAAAAAGATGTCCCCAAATCCAGTAAAAATATGGTTCAAAACCCCTAATACCATCAAGGCTGGGGAAATCATAATAATGTAAATGGGTAGAGTGGTCAAAGTTGTTTCATAAAAGCACCTTATGTTGTGTTCTTTCAACATTCTCTGTTTGCATTTTAAGCTTGTGTGACTGCTTGTCACTTCCTACAAGGTGATGTCTTCCTCATCTTCAGTGCAATAAACAGTGCATGTACAGGGACAGAGAGCAGACGCGTGAGCTCCGTGTTGGGGAGATGGCAGAGAGGAGTGGGAACTACCCCAGCGGAGAATTCCATTCTGTGGAAAGGAGTTCCTGCAGCCCCAGCGGAGAATTCCATTCCGTGGAAAGGAGTTCCTGCAGCCCAGCACCTGCCATTGTTGCATGTAGGAGCATGCACCCAGGGTGACCACATTTGCTGATTCTTTGAGGTCAGCTGGAATTTGAAAATGTTATGTGAAATCTGCTTTAAGTGGTAATGCACAATTGAATATATATTTTTTAAAAAAATACAATGTGGCTCAACTCTGTGGGGGAAAACCAAAAAATGTCCATGGGTCACACTTAGGTCACAGGCTGCCCGTTTGTACCATGTGGATTAAACTCCACAGCAATTATTATAATTTTCCTCTCTCCCCAATCCCTAAATTGTGATACTGACATCTTGACATTTTAAGTCCTGTCTACGGACACCTGCTGGTTTTCAGAAAGGGTCCCCGTGGCAATCTTGAGGAGGCAAAGCTGCAGCCCTCACACTGCCTCGGGCTCTCCCCACATTGCTGCTTCTGCCAGGCATGGTCCAGCTCATGCCTACATCCCTGGAGCAAGCCTCTTTCATCCCTCCATTCCTTCAACAGCTGTCAAAGGAACAAAAGAATGAGCAATGAGCTAACCACCTTGTCAGACTGGAGTTGCTGTCACTAACCATCCCATCTCCCCATCTCCTAACGATTCTCAAGAGCCATGCCATGGAGTGGGGCCCAGCCTACTTAAGATGAGAACCATCCTCCTCTTACTGAACAGGCGGCAGCATGCTTCTAGGGTAATGGCCCAGAGAGCTGCCTCAACAGGCACGAGCAGAGACACTATTTGAGGATACAGCTATTAATGTAGGGTGGGGGAGGCAGTCTTATTTGCATATTTAAAAATTTTGGCTTAAGCTAGGAAAAGAGGAAGGGGGCAAAAAGAAAACTCTGCACTTAAATACAGTCAAAAGAATTCCTTGTTGAAATGATCTACAGTTAATGAAGAAGGCGCTATATCCTCTAGCAAAAATAGTAGTAATAAGAATAATAAAATCTCAGTTTGGGATTGCTCAGCTAATGGGCCAACGTGATAGGCTAAACACCTGCAGATGCTTTGTAAAAATAATAATTAAAAACTCATTTCAAAGATATTATCATAATAGAAAGGATTATCTTATTAGGCTGTGTTGACTGGGATCTGTGTTTTATTAGTGGGAGCCAGCAGTTACATCACGATATTTAATGAGTTAGATCTGAGAAGCAGGGATCCGCTCCCCGTGGTTGTTAATCCATTCCTACATATGCACATCACTTTTGTTCTTAAGAGACTAAAACCTTCTGCCAACATTATCTTACTGGTCTGGAAAAGATGACCCTGTTGTGTGGTCAGCTGTCATGGAAGACAGAGCCCTTCCTTTACGTATTTAGAGAGACAAAGAACAGAGACTCTCATTCCAGTGGCAAGCTCCAGCAGGCACAGAGAGCAGCCTGGGTATCTTCTTGGAGGTTCACAGTCCACTCAGTCCTGCAGGCTGCCATTCTAGGAGCAGTGGCCTGCTTATTCTCCAGAATAGACTGGGCAACTGCCCGTCATTTTGTCAGGCTTCCCCTTCAATTTAGGCTTCCTTTGTCAATCTCCATTGAACACATCAGCTTCTCTTCATAGAAGTTATTACACAAAATTTATTCCTGACAAACTTGATCCTCTCTTGGTATTTTTAAAATGCTATATAATTCTCTCACTTGCAAACAGCCTAATGTATCTGTCGTATCTGTGACAGGTGATGGCCTGAGGGGATCAAATATTCCAAGATCTGTTGAATTCAGTGAATGTTTCTGCATGAATAGTTTTGCATTTTATGCCACAATGACTGGAAAATTGAGCAACTGATAAATTGGACATCAGATGAATAACGATATATCGGGTCAAGCAACCCCAATTTTATGTTGGTATCTCTCACTAAAACCCAGTTTGAGAATGAACCAGGAAGGCCTTGGGCTCAATCTGGAATAGGTCTTGAAAATGAACCTGGTTTTATTTCTGGTCTAGTGTGCAGGGTGAAGTGTGCATGCGCATATACACCACACACACCCCCCAGACACGACACATATACACAAACAGCATACTCATACCATACAATACATATATCACATACAAACACAACACCCCCCCCCCCAGACGCACAAACAAAAACAATGCACACACACCACATGCATGGACTAAAACTACTGTCCACAGAGAGGAACTGCTTGCTCTCTTTCCAGGAAATGAGAGGTGACAGCGTGCTGGCAGTCCTCAGAGCCCTCACTTGCTCTTGGCACCTCCTCTGCCTGGGCTCCCACTTTGGCAGCATTTGAGAGCCCTTCAGCCCCCCCACTGCACTGTGGGAGCCCCTTTCTGGGCTGGCCAAGGCCGGAGCCCACTCCCTCAGCTTGCAGGGAGGTGTGGAGGGAGAGGCACGAGCGGGAACCGGGCTGCGTGCGGCGCTTGCGGGCCAGCTGGAGTTCCGGGTGGGCGTGGGCTTGGTGGGCCCCGCGCTCAGAGCAGCCAGCCAGCCCTGCTGGCCCCAGGCAATGGGGAACTTAGCACCCGGGCCAGTAGCTGCGGAGGGTGTACTGGGTCCCCCAGCAGTGCCAGCCCACCGGCACTGTGCTCGATTTCTCGCTGGGCCTTAGCTGCCTTCCCGCGGGGCAGGGCTCGGGACCTGAAGCCCGCCATGCCTGAGTCTCCCACTCACTCCATGGGCTCCTGTGTGGCCCGAGCCTCCCCGACGAGCACCACCCCCTGCTCCACGGCACCCAGTCCCATCGACCACCCAAGGGCTGAGGAACGCGAGCGCACGGCGCAGGACTGGCAGGCAGCTCCACCTGCAGCCCCGGTGCGGGATCCACTGGGTGAAGCCAGCTGGGCTCCTGACTCTGGTGAGGACGTGGAGAGTCTTTATATCTAGCTCAGGGATTGTAAATACACCAATCAGCACCCTGTGTTTAGCTCAAGGTTTGTGAATGCACCAATTGACACTCTGTATCTAGCTGCTCTGGTGGGGCCTTGGAGAACCTGTGTGTCGAAACTCTGTATCTAACTAATCTGATGGGGACATGGAGAATCTTCGTATCTAGCTCAGGGATTGTAAACACACCAATCAGCGCCCTGACAAAACAGGCCACTGGGCTCTACCAGTCAGCAGGATGTGGGTGGGGCCAGATAAGAGAATAAAAGCAGGCTGCCCGAGCCGGCATTGGCAACCCGCTCGGGTCCCCTTATACAATGTGGAAGCTTTGTTCTTTCGCTCTTTGCAATAAATCTTGCTACTGCTCGCTCTTTGGGTCCACGCTGCTTTTATGAGCTGTAACACTCACTGTGAAGATCTGCAGCTTCACTCCTGAGCCCAGTGAGACCACGAGCCCACCGGGAGGAACGAACAACTCCAGACACGCTGCCTTAAGAGCTGTAACACTCACCGCGAAGGTCTGCAGCTTCACTCCTGAGCCAGCGAGACCACGAAGCCACCAGAAGGAAGAAACTCCGAACACATCTGAACATCAGAAGGGACAGACTCCAGACGCGCCACCTTAAGAGCTGTTAACACTCACCGCGAGGGTCCGCGGCTTCATTCTTGAAGTCAGTGAGACCAAGAACCCACCAATTCCGGACACAGAAAGACATATGTCCTCTTTTAAGGCATTTCAATTGATTAAAATCCACCCAAGATAATCTCCCTAATTTAAAGTCAACTGATTAAGGACTTTATTTATATCTGTGAAGTCTCTTCACAGAAGCACCTAGGAGAAAGTGCGTGCATGCTACAGAATGCCTGCGTCTTCCCTTCCACCCTTTATGAGAGAGTATCTGGTATAGCCCACCCCTCTCACATACTGGGAAATTCTGGGGAATGTACCCTAGCCTAGCTGAATTGACAAACCACAAAGCCATCATAACAGCATAACACACACACACACACACACACACACACACACACACACACACCACAATGAAATAAGAAATAGCATAGGCAATGAGACAACCAAATAAATGGAGGCTAGAATAGATGAATATGTATGTGCACACATGTGCATTTGTGATCTAGTTTCCTCTGGCCCTTGATGGACCAGCGGTCCCCTCAGTCTGTGACTGAGATGAAGGACAGAAAGAAGTACTGCTGCTCTGGTCAGTCTCAAAAGACAAAAGATGCCCCCTGAATTCCAGCTTGACCATATGAGATCCTTGCTTCTAGGTAGCAGATGGTTGTCATTTTGTACAACAACAATCAATAAAATATATAGTCAACTATGTTGAAAATGTCCACAATGGTCCCACTGGGCATGGTCTGACCAACCAAGCATGAATTTTTTAAGAAAACTGAGTCTCTTTTTGGTTAGAGCATGTTCACTTTGGGCCAGGGGCAGTGGCTCATGCCTGTAATCCCAGCACTTTGGGAGGCCGAGGCGGGTGGATCACGAGGTCAGGAGTTCAAGACCAGCCTGGCCAAGATGGTGAAACCCCATCTCTACTAAAAATACCAAAATTAGCCAGGCATGATGGCAGGTGCCTATAATCCCAGCTACTCAGGAGGCTGAGGCAGAGAATTGCTTGAACCCGGGAGGCGGAGATTGCAGTAAGCCGAGATTGCACCACAGCACTCCAGCCTGGGCAACAGAGAGAGACTCTGTCTCAAAAAAAAGAAGAAAAAGAGCATGTTCACCTTGATTTTTCTGTCAGGCCAGGATTGGACTGTTTTTCTTCTGTTAATAGGACTCTGCTGTTGATACCAAGCGTTGTTGAAACTCAGCTCATGCTGAAACTCACATCTAAAGACCAACACTGGCTTTCAGGTATTTCATAGAGCATGGCTCCTATTGTGTGATTGAACACCACTGCATTCTTTGAATGAGTAATTCTATCAGGTCATGGATCTCAAATAAAACAGCCAAAAAAGGTGGGGGGTAGAGGAAAGAAACCATGGCTTCTTGGGATAATTATTTCTTTGCACGCATTGAGTATTCTTAGTGAGAAAGTGTGGTGGTCATTACTGCTATGCCTACTCTCGAGTTTTTGAAGCTCACCCTAACCTAATTAAGTGTCTGTTTGCCCTTAGGCCCGGCATGTTCACTAGATGAGGCAACAGCTGCAACACTGCCAGAAACCACGGGAAGGGCGAAATATTTGCTGGTTGCTGCTATTTGAAGCCTTGCCAGAATCAACAATGATGGTCTTAGGCATTATCAGCTCATTTTAAAAATGTATCCTGACAGATGCTGGTATGCTCCTCCTGAGAGGCACACATCAGTTCTCATGGCCCCCAAAGCAGTGGGATGGGGTTGTTCAAAAGTTCAAGTGGGAGAAGGTGTTGGAAACTGATCTATTCCAACTCAGTTAAACAGGGAAGTGTGGAGAGGTTGCATGTTTGGTCTTATTTGGGTAAAGTAGACAAAGCAATGCCCTCGGCCTTCAGTGTACACAGGTGACACCTGTAAGAATTCATTTAAATGCAGGTTTCTAGGGCACACCCAGAGATTTTGACTTAAGTTTTGGGGGACATAGGAACATACTTTTTTGTTTTTTTGAGACGGGGTCTCACTCTGTTGCCAACATCTGCCTTCCGGGTTCAAGTGATTCTCCTGCCTCAGCCTCCTGAGTAGCTAGGACTACAGGCGTGCGCCAGCTAATTTTTGTATTTTTAGTAGAGACGGGGTTTCTCCATGTTGTCCAGCATGGTCTCGATCTCTTGACCTCAGGATCCGCCTGCCTTGGCCTCCCAAAGTGCTGGGATTACAGGCGTGAGCCACTGCGCCCAGCCAGAATATACATTTTTATAAGTGTTTTACAATGTGATTCCAATGAAGGTGGTTTTAAGAGGCACTAGTGTAAAGAAGAGAGTTTAGAATCTTGAACAGAATCTCAAAAAGCTGTTTTAATTTTATATATAGTTTTAAAATTTAGCAAGAGGGGGCAGAACCCATTGAAGCAAGCTATAAAATCTCATTGAAAGGCACAAAACCAGAGCCAAAATGAACTGGGAAGTTTACCTCGTGCCCAATGGGAGAACTTACCATTGAAAAACAATCTCCCTTAATGAATTTGTATTTTGAAGGTAATCTCAATCGGAATGCCAATGCATTTGGTGTTTTCTGGAACTAGTTTGGAGGGGTGGGGAACATGCCTTACCAGATAAAACTATAATAACCCTAATCAAAATAGTAAGGGGTTGACAAAGAAATGGATGATTAGATCAATGAACTAGAACAGAAAGACAAGAAAGAATACCAAGAATATATAATCAATGTGACATTATTTGCAGTGAGAAAAAAGATGTTTAATTGTTTATCTGTCAGGAATAAAATACAGTAGATTTCAATTTCACTCCATGTGCAAAAACAAACCTAAGATAAATGAAAGATCTAAATGCAGCAATTGACCAATAAAAGTATCAGAAAATGTAGGCAAATATTTGTATAACCCTGGGATGAGTAAAACATTCTTACACATGACAGGAAATTCAAGATTTATAAAGAAAATATAGGACATATATAACTATATGAATTTAAAATATTCTGTATAATGAAAGATATCATAGATAATGCCAGAAATCAAATAGTAGGAAAAATTATTGAACACACATATGGCAACCAAACAGTTAATATTCTTCATAGTCAAAGCCTTCTAAATATTGATGCAAAAAGGACAAATAATGCAATAAAAAATTGGCAAACTTTAAAAAACTACTAGGTAAAATTTAAAATTTGTAATAATGTCTGTCACTGTTAAGGTTGTAGAAAAAATTAGTACCTGCTTACGTTGGTGAAGGAGGTACAAACTTTGGCTTCTTGGCAGTATTTGTGTATGTTATAGAAATAACAGTGCCAAAAGACAAAAGGAAAAGAGCTAGATGCTTATTGCAACTTTATATATTGAGTTTCAAGAAAGAAAGAGGGAATAGGGGGACAGGGAAGAAAGTGAGAACTACAAATAAAATCTTAAGCCGCTCAACCAACTGGACAGACCCTCTCTTGGCCAAGGGGACCCCGGAAAAATCTTAAAAACATGATGGGGTGGGAGGTCAGGCAGGCCTCATTAAGCACCTTTCCTTTTGCAGTTTAGCCACAACAGCCCAGAATTAATGTTAACATAGAGATCATAGGACTGACAGAATGAACTCTCTGTGGCATACCTTCCTGTCTCGCCTTTCCGCCTTCACAGTGCTTGCTCATGGCCTCTACCGGAGGCTACACCTCCCAGCCTGTCAGGACCCTGCAGGCTCTAAGCCTTTATAAAAAATAAAGCCTCCTTTCTAAATGTATACATTGTGTGATTTTTCAGTTGACAGAAGGAATGAAAAAAGGAGGGAAGGTAAAGTGTACATACACACACACACAAGGAAAGAAAAAGAAAAAGAAACAACCGGAATATTCCTCAAGAAGAAAATGGTTAATTATGTTACATCCAAATAATGGCTGTTGTTCAGCTTCTGAAAATAGATCTGTATACATTAACCAAGAGGAAAATCCATGATATATGTTTAGTGAAAAAAGAACACTTCCATATTGTGCATGTGGAATACGTTACACTTTGGGCAAAAGAGGCAGAAAAAGAGAGAGAGAGGGAGGGAGGGAAAGAGACAGGAACAGAGGGAGATTTATAGACATACCATTGTGAAAGGATGAAATTGAAGGGAAACAGGTGAGATTAATAACCTTTTACTTGATTAACTTTAGATGACAGGCCCCATGTATTAAGATACTTTTGTCAAATTATAACATGGTTAAACAAGGCTGACCAGGATGGAGAGGGGCCTGGAAGCCATGGTGCCTTCTCCATAAGATGTGTGAGAATGGAGAGAGAGAATACAAGGAAAACACATAATAAACACTCAATCTTATATAGGCTTCAAGTAACTACAAGTTTTGCCTGGAGAAGAGATGATAATTGGAGCTTCAAACATGAGAAGAGACAGTATTAGAGTCTGTCCTCTGTCAATGTTGAGTGGCGGCTGCTGGAAAGTAGGTTGCAGGTGGAAAAAAGAGAGGATTCCCAAACCCATGGAGAGCTCCTACCACATGCCTCAGTCGCCCTAACAGTCTTCCTCCGGGCGTAGCCTAGGAGGTAGGACCAGCCTGTTTTTAGGGATCCTTCCAAGTCAAGTGTCACATTCAAGGTACAAGTCAAAATTAGTTGGCCAATTGGAAAGTGGATCAAAGATTCCTCCCATACTTACTCATTCCAGTTGTAATCAATCAGGGTCAAGAAAGGAGGATTAGAAGGATTCATGAGTGATTTCATGGCAAGATTTTGTGACACTTCAAATGGCAATTTTTACTGATGGTGACCTAGTTAGCACATACTGTACTATGGTAGATGTCAAAACCTCAATCTTCCATGCACAGGTTTTATTATCAAAAGTCCAAAAGAATTTTGTTAATTGGGTGAGTCTGCAAGCAAAAGGCTCATGAAAGCATAGCCTTAGATAGAGTCTGGGGGGTGTTTATCTCCCACGGTAGGAAAGCACTAGAGAAGCAGTGTGGTCACAGGTGGCTGACATGTGTCTGTGTCGCATGGATCTGCCTTATCTTCTCTAGAAGTTGGAAAACATAACACAATGAGGTAGAGTGGGAAGAGTGGCAATTTTTAGAATCAGTTCAAGTGCTGGCTCTGCAACAGGTTAGTGAGTCACAATGAGTGAGTTATCTACCTCTCCAAGCCTCAGTTTCCTTATCTGCAAAACAGGAGTGATGCCAGATTATAAAGAAAAAAGGATACAACAAACACATCCAATCCCCAGGCTGTAAATAGGCACTTACTAACATTAGTTTCTTCCTACTCTCTTTTTTGATAGCACGTTTCTGCCCACCACTATGTTCTCAGGAAATCAAAGTGGAAGATTGCAATTGCTCTGTCTGACCCCAGTCTACTCTCTCCTGCGTGCTTGTTGTTGTCCTTGTGGTGTGAGCCGGGCTTCTTCAGGGAAGCAGTGATGCGGCGCAAAAGGAACACATGCGTGCATTGCTGATGTACATTCTGTGGGAGAGACAGACGTGAGGCTATCTTTGGATTTCCATGGCTTTTATAATTGGGGTAGTCATACATCATTTACACTCACATAAAGATCCTGTTTTTAGTTTAGAAAGGGTTGTTTTAACATTTTTTTTCATCATTACACAAGTAAAGCATATTTTTGGTTGAAAAATTTAAAACTACCAAAAAGCCGATAGGAGGAAATGAAATCCATCTATAATTATACCACCTAGAGAGAACTGCTTTTAATGTTTAGGTAGGCATCATTTGAGATCTATATGTATAGATACAAATATAGATAGACACTTAAATAGGTATCTAGGTATATAAATAGGTATATAATAATACATTCAGTAGATCAAAATAGATAAATAGTATATTAAAGTATCTAATAGGTAATTTAAATAGATATATAATAATAAATATATTTTATTTAAGATATAAATAGGTATCTAATAGTTTTATTATACCTAACTAGGTATATAAAGATGTCTGCTGTAGAAATATACATGTACTATTTGAAATGCATGCTGATTTAAAATTACTGCAAAAAGAAAGTGCAGACAACTTTGCCTCTGGGAAAATGTAATCTTAATGATACATGCACCTATTCTCTCTCCATTCAGTGCCTAATGTGGGTGATGACTGTGAATAAGGACATAAGGGAAATATCACCGGAGGGTCTTTCAGAGGCCCGAGGAAGTAGGATTCCAAGCAACAGTTTATGGTCTTCTTTTTTTTTTTTTTTTTTTGAGACAGAGTCTCAGCCTGTCGCCCAGGCTGGAGTACGATGGCGTGACCTCAGCTCACTACAATCTCTGCCTCCCGGGTTCAAACGATTCTCCTGCCTCTGCTTCCCGAGTAGCAGGGATTATAGGCACCGGCCACCATGCCCAGCTAATTTGTGTATTTTTAGTAGAAATGGGGTTTCCTCATGTTGGCCAGGCTGGTCTTGAACTCCTGACCTTGTGATCTGCCTGCCTTGGCCTCCCAAAGTGTTGGGATTACAGGCGTGAGCCACCGCGCCCGACACAGTTTATGGTCTTCTTATTGCAGGTCTGTAAGCAACAACTTCCTTCCTGGCTCTCTAGACTCTCTAGAAGAAAGAGCAAAATTTCAGCGTTCCCTATGCGTGTTTGAGAGCATATGACAGCCCAAGAGGAGATGTGAAGAATACCATGGAGAGTGCCAGGGGCCCATCTGCCTCCAAGCATGTTGAGATGGTTGACAGCAAGGAATAAGCATTTACAAGATGGCTAGACAAATAAAATACCATGACAACATGGAGTAAGTCTGGATAGAGACACTGTCACTGATAAATAAGACCCCCTGGTTCATGGAGTCCCTCGGAGCCTAACCACAAAGATGGACCTTAGAGATCGGAATAATTAAGTGTTTGTTTTTTATGACTAATGATAAGACGGCATATGGGCATATATCCTGTGGGATGAATATTTTACACACTTAACCTTATTAAAACAGCTTGGGTGGGTAGATTTCTTCAGGCAGTTTTAAAGCATTATGCTATCTCCAGGAAAGCAAACGTCTTCTGGCTATTGTGTGAGCAGATGGGAAGTGCTGAGAAAATCTGGAGATCAGACTCTTTGGCAACCATAGCACCCTATTAAATTGGTTTATACAATGATGGATACCCACAATAAACTAACAAGGTGGTTTCTGAAGTTGCCAGAATTTTCTCTTTTTTTGTATTTCAATTATAAAAACAGTAAAAATAATCTGTACATTTGTCTTTGGGTATATACTAGAAAGGTGAGAGAAAAGATAAGGGAACTCAAAGACTTTCTTAATTCTAAGGCCACCTTTGCCCGGATGACAAGCATCCCTTTTACGGTCCTTTGCTACCTAGCCATTCTGCTAGCTTATACTCAAGGAGGTTGTGATAGATCCAGCATCCAACTTCAGAAACCAGTCGATCATTTAATTCTTATTAATTATAAGAAGAACAGAACTATGCCATTCTGTACCTTCTTAAAGATAGAAACTACTTTAGAACAAAATTTATCCATGTTTAGTACTTAATTCAGGCAGATTTCTAATGTTTAACTATCTAACTGGAGGTCAAAGATATCAAAAGTTGCTAATAAGATCTAACATAATCAATACCATTCTATTGCATTACAAAGCCAAACTTTGATGGAAGTCAAAGCCCTATTCAAGACATTTCACTGAGCATACAACTTCAAATCAGTTCATTGATTGTTGTACATTTAAATCAAGCCGTTAAATTAACTTGACTGATCCTTCCAAGTGATCATTTATATTGAAATGAGCTGTTTGGGAGGGTGATGCAAACACAGCTTAAAAGCCTTCACAAATAGTAGAGTTGTGTTGGTGGTGGTGGAGTTTGTTGGTTGGTTTCGTTTTTTTTTGTCTTTGAGACAGGGTTTCACTCTGTCACCCAGGCTGAGTGCAGTGGCGCAATCACAGCGCACTGCAGCCTCGAGCTTGACCAATCCTCCCACCTCAGCCTCCTGAGTAGCTGGGACTACAGGCATGCATCACTAAGCCTGGGTAATTTTTAATTTTTTTTTTTTTTTGGAGACAGTCTTGCTCTGTTGCCCAGGCTGGAGTGCAGTGGCACGATCTCAGCTCACTGTGCAACCTCTGTCTCCTGGCTTAAAGCAATTCTCCTGCCTCAGCCTCCCGAGTAAGCTAGGACTACAGGCACACACTGCCACGCCTGGCTAAATTTTTGTATTTTAGTAGAGACGGGGTTTCAACGTGTTTCCCAGGCTAGTCTCGAACCCCTGAGCTCAGGCAATCCTCCTGCCTCGGCCTCCCAAAGTGCTAGGATTACAGGCATGAGCCACCACACCCAGAGTTTTCTTTTTTAGACATGTTCTCACTCTGGTTGCCCAGGCTGGAGTGCAATGGCACAATCTCGGCTCACTGTAGCCTCGACCGCCTGGGCTCAGGTGATTATCCCACCCCAACTCCTCGAGTAGCTGTGATTACAGGCGTACACTACCACACTTGGTTAATTTTTTGTATTTTTAGTAGAGTCGGGGTTTATCTATGTTGCCCAGGGCGGTCTCAAACTCCTGGACTCATGCAACCTGCCCACCTCAGCCTCCCAGAGTGCTGAAATTACTGGTGTGAGCCACTACGCGCGGCCTAGTAGTTTTTAGAGGCCCCAGGGTTGCTTCCTAAATGACTGTGACCTTACTACATTTTATACACAACTGAACAAAGCACGAACTCTCAGTTCTATTCCAGCTTCACGGAGCACCAAGAAGGAAATTGTTGCTTAAATATTTGCAAACGAAAGTTTAAAAGACCATACAGTGTTGTTAAAATCCAGTTTTCACTATTTCTGAGTTGAACCTCTGACACTTCTACAGGTATGGCCAATGAGAAGAACCTGCATTCAATGTAGAGAGAACAGGATTCTTGTGCTACTGGAAATCTTTAACAATTATAAATCAAACAGAGATTAGGCTTTTAGAATAACATTCTCACATAGAAAATTCCTTGATTGGCCATCTAGGTATATTCCCTGGCTTGTTTAAGCAAAATCAACCTTGTGCCATTCTGCACGACAACAGCTCTGCCCAGCAGTCACCAATCATCATTAGAACAAGGCTTAGGAGTCAGTGATTTCACACATTCTTCTGTTATCCTTGAGCATCCCTGGGCATTTTCAGTGGATAGCCATGAGAAACAAAAAATCAATTTGCCACTGTATAAACTGCCAAATAAGAATCATGACAGTTTATCCAGCCTGTTTGTGAAGATGCCCACAAACCCTATAGAGATTCTGCCAGCCAGCTTAGGCCGCAGGTCTCCATCCTGCCTTTGCGAATGTTCTCTCCCCCATGGCTGGAACCAGGTAATTCTCACTGCAGGCTCAGCAATGTGCTTTGTCCCTGGAATCAATTTTGGTCTGAGGCAGGAGGCATTAGGCCAGTTCCAAAGGTGATATTCAAAGGATATGCACATATACACACACACATATATATACACACAGACACACTCATACATGCATGACACACCCATGCATACACATAACGTTTGTTGTTGCTGTTGCTGCTACTTTGACCTGATGTGGTAACTCCGTTTCTCTAATCAAGCTTCCCTCCTGGGCATTACTTCTAGGTTCTGGTCTAGGATCCCAGCACACTGCTGATTCTGGGTTTCTACTTATATCATCTCTGTCCCCTTTCTGGGACAAGAGCCCTGCAGCCTATAGACAGATGTCTGCTACACTGACTATCATTCAAAAAGACTGTGTACTGCACACTCCAGAGCACCCTCCCTTTGTAAGAACTTCTTATTGGAAGACATTATTATGTCTTTCTGTCGCCATTTTGAACCCTTTGCTCGCACTGAGCATGGATGGCTGTATTGACTGGACACTTTGCTTTCCCATCATACCACCACTTCACAGCACTTTCAGCTGGTCCCTCTCATCTGGGTGCTCAGGTGGGTCCGGTTCCAGGACTTGGCCATTTCCCACTTTCCAGAAATATTTTAGAAATTACTAAAAACTCACTGGGAGTAAGAGTTGCCAGGTTTAGTAATAAAAGCACAGGATGCCCAGTTAAATTTGAATTTAAGATAAACAATGAATAAGGTTTTAATATAAGTATATCCCATACAATTATAAAATGCTCTTCATTGTTTATGTGAAATACGAATTTACCCAGGTGTCCTGTGATTGACTTGGCAGCTCTATTTGAAATGCCATGTTGAGTTCACAGATGCCTTTTGAAGATTGCAGCCTCTGGGGTCTGTTTTCTTACTAAAAGCTTAACGCTTGGGGCCGTTCGCTCCACTACCTTGCTCACACCTCCTCCAGGAAGAACAGAGTTGGCTCTGCCCAGCAGCCACCTCTATGCTGTGGAGAAATCTTGCTCTTCAAAGCTTTTCTTGCTATTGGATATGTGGAGTTCTTTGAAGTGATAAGACTCAAGTTCTTTGTCTGGAGGAACCACTGTCCACTGTATTTCCAAGTTTCTTAAGGATTCCCTTGCTCAAGGAATTCTAACAGTATCCAGGGCCCTGTGCTGTCTTTCTGGGCTTCAGGGTGTCGGGAAAAGCAGTGCTTAGCTCTCTTTCTCACTTTGGACAGAATGTGAACATTCCTCAGTCACTCAGTCTGAAACCTCCCTTGCCCTTCTCTCTTGTGTTTAATCTTCTCTGGCCCCTTTTCCACAGACCTTATCTCTATTCAGTTCCAGTCAGTCCCACAGGCAATTGCATTTGTGGTTCTACTTCTCCCAAGTCTTTCTAATTCTCAGCTCTTTCTGAAATTGCAATTACCTGGGGAGGTTTGAGAAAATAGCTGTGCCTGGTCCATATCCCCAAAGATGCTATTTAATTGGTGTAGAGTAGCTGCAGGCATTGATAGCTGCAAAGGCCCACCAGGTGATTCTACTACCATTCAGTGGCGTCTGGCCCCTGCTTTAGGGCTTTCCTTCAGGACTGAGGACTCCCTGGTGCAGCTGCAGTCCAGGTGTGGGAGCAGCAGGCTGACTCGGTGCATTCAGGGGCCACATTCACCCCAGAACATCATTATCCTTCCCCAGTGCCATTGCAAGTCATTTCCTACAATACTGTCACATGTCCTCAAATCCTTCCCAATAGAACAAAAGCAGAAAATTATAAAAGTACAGTCCTTTGGGATTTTTTTTCTGTAAATCTCATTGTAATTTGGGTACAATTGTTCGAATTTTTTGTATGAGCTAAACAATCCATATCTCCATCCCCAGTTTAAGACTGGGCTTGCATATTCAGTACAGAACATGAAATGAAATACATAATTGTATAGTAATCATTTTATTCTCAACTATATTCAATTACATGTTAAGATAAAATCTTCATAGCTCAATTTACTGTCCCCGATTGTACTTATCCTCTATTTTGCCCTCCTTCCCTCACTCTGATGCTCTTTATCTGCCATTTTCAAACATTTCCCTTCAAAATGGTTTGAAAGAAAGTTTCTGGAGTGATAACCTGCTCCTACCCCAACTGTTCTCTTGAGTCTATTTGCTAACTGTGATTTAAAATCATTCTCTTTCTCCCTATCTGCTGGTTTGTTTTTTTTTTTTCAGTTAAAAAGGGTCCAGTCTTCTTCACTGTACGTATCACCACCCCTTCTGTCTCTGAGGCTGAAGGATTTCTAGGTAGTTAGCGTCTGTATAATATTGCTCTTCTTTACCAAATATTGGGTAGATAGTTGTGGAGGAAGGGAGGCAGGGAAGAAGAAAGGAAGGAAGGAAGGAAGAAAGAAAGAGAAAAAGGAAGGAAGGGAGAGCAGGGAAGGGAGAGCAGGGAAGGGAGAGCAGGGAAGGGAGGGAGAAAGGAAGAAGAAAAGAAGGAAAGAAAGAAAAGCTCACTTAGCAAAACCTGAAAATAAGCAATATGCAGTAAAATAAAATTCAGTTTTTAATGATTTCCTACATTTCGATTGTCCTAGAATTTTAGCATTCTCCAGAAATGTATTTTCATTGAGATAAATAGAAATATCCATGTCACATAGTTGAAAGGTTAAAAACCTTCGTTCATCTCACTAGGGAAAGTAATGGGTCTTCAGATAAATTAGGCAAAGCTAAAATGCTTACACACCTCACATAGTCTTTGCCATACAAGTGTGAATTCAAGCCAGAAATGGCTATCATTATACACCCTCATTTACAGGTCAATATATGGCACATGATAGATACTCAGTGTTTCTGAAGAAAAGAAGAAAAACTAATTGTATCTTGCCATTGCTGTTTCTTCTAATTCACCTGCTTAATGCTCAAAAATATTCCTCCAAGGATTGTCACTTTCTTACCTCCGACATTTTAACTTCAATTCTTAGAGTGTTTCTTGGATTCTCCATGCAGTGTTTCTTCCTCTCTGATTTTTCTTTAGAGAATGCTTTCTGCACCATTGCGTATAATCCTGTTAACCAAGGATTTCTGCTCTTTTCCACCCAAGTGCAAGATATGATGTATTTTCCTGAGAATTTAGAGTTAGAGAGGGGAAAAGTCATCCAGTTATTCTGCCCACTCCAACCCCTACGTCCCATCCCAAGATCTTGAAGCAAAGTTTATTTTATGCTAGCTCTGGTGAGCTAGCTGGCCCATGGTCTAACCTGTTGCTCTTAATTATTTATTTATTTATTTATTTTGAGACAGAGTCTTGCTCCGTTGCCCAGGCTGGAGTGCAGTGGCACATGATCTTGGCTCACTGCAACCTCCGCCTCCTGGATTCAAGCGATTCTCCTGCCTCAGCCTCCCAAGTAGCTGGGATTATAGGCACATGCCACCATACCTGGCCAATTTTTGTATTTTTAGTAGAGATAGGGTTTCACCATATTGGCCAGGCTGCTCTTGAACTCCTGACCTCAAGTGATCCACCCACCTCAGCCTCCCAGAGTGCTAGGATTACAGGCGTGAGCCACTGCGCCTGGTCCTGTTGCTCTTAGTTAAAAAGGAACTGTTGTTTTTGACAGCTCCCTTAGGTTTGAACTTCCCTACACTGTTTCAAATAGTCGGTTCCTTTGGAACGCTCTGGAGCACTCTTCTTATTGACTGCCTCTCCTCCTAGCAAAACATCTGAGCCACTACTCTGTGCTGGCTGGGAGATAGCCTCTGGTCTTCTCAGCTTTCCTCTCCTGATGTTGAATCCCTGCTTTATGATCAAGTTGAGATGAGGAAAAAAGGACCCCAGTATTTTCAGCCTTCCCTGATTTGGGGAGAGCCTCCATTTCCTGAGGACTGGCTAGATAGAGGAAGGTAGACCCTGACCTCTCAGGGGAATGAGAATTTAGGCTTTCACCAGGAGTGTAGCCTCTTCAACTTGAGGTTGGAAGGAATGAGAAATGATGGCAGCCTGGCCCTTCCAGTGAGATATAGTGATGCCTGACTGGAGCTAAGAGTATAGGAGGCCCTGCCTTCTTGGTCCCTACCTGCTGGGAGTGCAGCTTCTGTCAAACCCACCAAGCTGACAGGAGGTAAAGGGAGAGGGAGGGAGCAGGTGGTTGTGGCTCAGATACCACAAACACACTGTTCTTCCTGAGTTTTAGTAGACTTTCTGGGATAATTATTTGTCATTTGCTGTTTATACCATTAGGAAAATTTTCAGAGATTTTACATAGTTGTTTGTTTTTTCTCATTTTCAATAGTTTTGCTTTTTTTCACTGGGGAGTGGGCCCAAGTTGCTTCTTACGCTGCCGTCTGGGAAGTATATCTTCCTGTTGAGACTTTTCCTAAGAAGCTTGATTAAGGGCTTATCCTGTATCTGTAAAGGTCACAGGTTTGGGAGTCTAATGCATCTGGGTTTGATTCCAAACTCTGCCACTGACTAGATGTGTGACTATGGGGAGTCACTTATACTCTCTAAGCCTTGGTTCATCATATATAAATGGTGCTAATACGAATAGTTATTTCAAAGAGATATCCAATAACAGAATCAAGTGCTTAATACAGTGCCTGGCACAGCCTGAGCTCCTAATACACATCAGCTGTTATTTGTTTAAATCTTACAGGAAATGAGGAGCCACTGAAGGAGTTTAAACCAGACTGTGTTATGAGGAGATCCACATTTTAGAATGATCCCTCTCCAGGGCAGGTCAAGTGATTAGGAAACTTGCAGTGGTGCAGAGGAAAAACAATGAAGCACCACAACGAAGCACAAAAGCTGGGGAGTGATGAGTGGAAACTGCAAAAGGAGCAGTGGGGAGGGAGTGTCGATGGGATTTGGTGCCCAGATAGATGCAGGGAGTGAGAGTGAGGAAAAGGAAGTGTGAGAGATCTGCCTTAGGTGTGGGTAAAGACTTCAGAATTCTCATGAATCAAATCTTCCTGCACTCTAGCCTTGGCCTTCCAGGCCCTCACCCCTGAAGAGTTGGAGCAAGCTTCAAACCCAGGTCCTCTATTTCCAGACTCTAGACCTTAGAGGTCTGGGGTGGTTTGCTTGTTTTTTGTTTTGAGACAGAGTCTCGCTCTGTTGCCCAGGCTGGATGCGGTGGTACAATCACGGCTCACTGCAACATCCACCTCCCGGGTTCAAACGATTCTCCTGCCTCAGCCTCCCGAGTAGCTGGGATTACAGGTATGTGCCACCATGCCTGGCTAATCATTCTATTTTTAGTAGAGATGGGTTTTACCATGTTGGCCAGGCTGGTCTCGAACTCCTGACTTTGTGATCTGCCTGCCTCGGCCTTCCAAAGTGCTGGGATTATAGGCATGAGCCACCGCACCCAGGTGGTTATTGTATTTTAATGCCTTGAAAGTAACTCAGCCTTTACCTTCCCATGAGACAGACTGAAATAAGAAAATAACAACAACATCAAATGTTGGTGAGGATGTGGATTAACTGGTGGGTATGTAAAATGGTACGATGACTCTGAACACAGAAAACTTCTTAGAAAGTTAAATATGTACCTACCCTATAACCCAGAAATTCCACTCCTAGATATTTATTCAAGAAAAAGAAAATGTCCCAAAAATATTATCCAAGAATGTTCATTGCAGCTTTATTTATAATAGCTCCAAACTAGAAACAGTACAAGAGTTCATTGACTAAAAAACAGACAAGCTCTCTGTTGCTATATTTATATGACAGAATATACTCCTTATCAATAAAAACAAATTACTGATACATGCCACATGCAACATGGATTAATCTCTAAGACATCATGCCAAGTGAAAGAAGCCTTACACAAAAGCATGCATACTGTTTGATTCCACTTACATGATATTCTACAATAGGCAAAATGAATCTGTGGTGATAAAAATCAGATCAGTGGTTTCCTGAGAGTCAGGAGCAGGGGAATTGACTGGGAAGAGGCACAAGAAGACTTTCTGGTGTCACGGAAATATTCTATATATTGAAAGGAGTGTGAATTACATGGGTATATAATTTGTCAAAAATGATTGAACCATAGACTTAAGATCTGTGTCTTTCACTGTTTGTAAATTATATCCTATAAGAAAATTCTTAAAAATTAAGCAAAATCTCATCTGCAATCTTGACACTTGCCTGCTATTCTGGTGTCACCCCAAGGCTAGCCTTGGCCTTAGTGCCAGGCACTCCATAGCATATTATTTTTTCTACCCTATCTCCAAAAAATGTGGATTTACATAGCCTTAATCCAAGTAAAAGCCAATAGAAAGAAGAAAAAAATATTCACTCTCCATTAAAAGCTAGAAGAGCTAACATAACAGTAAAAGTCCACAGAAGAGCTCCCTTTCTAGGATATGGTATCCTTTCAGTAACCTTGAAATGTGGAAGTATCAGGGCCCAGAGTGGACGGGTCACCCAGCTGAAGATGCCTCTGGCAAATCCTGTCCTGTGCTGTATCCTGCCTACTAAATCACACAGATATTATTCAGCATAAGTCCTGGAAGAGTTTGAATAACTTTCCAAGGGTCCACAGCTGTGGATTATGCATTTTATGATCCATTAGAGCACTACTTAATTATGCGTTTTTCAGAAGCATAGTAAAGAGAAATGGCTTGAGATTCTTCTTAGCTTGTTTTATGGAATGAGAATTAAGCTTCTTTCTGACAACACTCCACGTTGCCACTGGAGCAATTAGATTTTTGGGTATGGTTTCTTTTTTTTCTTGACTACCCCAAGCAACAATAGATATTAATAACAGTGACAGCAGAAAATGAGGAACTTGCCCAATGAGTTATGAGACACATTTCACTGTCAAAAACTATAAGCTCATTTGTTCTCCCATTAATAATCCAGACCCTTGTCCTGAGACTTGCTGATACTATTAGACTTTCTCCCTCTCTGATGATTCAAACCCACATCTGAACCCGCTGTTGGATCATGACGTCAGTTCCTTGCAGTTGTGAATTGGTCTATGAGCCATGGATACATGGCTTCCAGTAAGTCAAAATTCTTTAGAGATGGTTGAGATCTGATTTTTGTTTCTCCACTTTCAAGTCATTCTTTTATCTCATGCATGGTTTAATTTCAGTCTCTCCAGCTAAAGTGGTGAATCATACATTAACCAGATGACTGGACTGTGTCGCACGACCATTGCAATTTACCTTCCATATGGGCATCGCTTTAAAAACAACCACCATCCTTACAAGCAGTACTCATTTCCAAAAGCTGGTGAACAAGCACATTATTTACAAAGTATGTAATCAGGAAACTCGATCCAACTCATTAACTGTATGACATCCCACTCTTTATTTAGACAGTTTACTGGCTGTGGACTTTCATATGGGATCTGTCATCTACACTTCCTGATAATAAAATTTAATTGAAATTTCATTCCTGTACAACAAGATGCCAGTTTAACAGATGGTCTGTAATTGTTATGTCCACATATTTTATATTGGATGGTATCACACACAATTTCACACAACTGCTATTCATTTAAATGCTGAGTTCATTTAAGACATTTCTTTCATATTAAAAACCTTATTGTTTAATATTACTGTAAAATATATCATTAAAATTGATTAGTTAAAATTGAAAAAATGATTAAAACAGTCCTCCTGAAACTAAAAGAATAATTAATGATTATGGTCTGAACTGCATTCCTGAAGAGAGTGAAAATATTTGTACAGAAACATCTAGATTTGTGTGTATGAGGCAGAAATTGACATATAGGCATGGCAGAAGATAAGGAATGTGACATATTTTAAGAAATGATCTAACCAAACCTCAGCCTGTATCCTCATCTATAAAATAAGCACTTAGTTTCTGTTCTGACTGTAAATTTCGGTGCTTTTTTGATCATTCTAAAAATCTCATTTATGTTCTTCTTTAATCTCAATTTTGAATCCACTGACTTAGTATTCAGTACTTTGTACTCAGAAAGCCAAGAATTCTCACCCTTAAAATTGGGGTGGGAAGGGGTTTGCAGGAAAGAAATACATCAGAGGCACCGAATACATAGGGAAGAATTCCAAATCCTTTCATATAACCCAAGTGTCATTCCATCCCAAGTGTCACATTCAGTGCAACTTGAGTACTTACCATTAAGATAATTTTAATCGTTAATGTAATTTCTGAGAGCATTTTAAAGGAACTTAGCAGTATAGTTTGAAAGTACAGGAAATTCGGTCTAGTGTGAAAAGCTGACTTGCTTCTCCTTCATAATGGTGGTATCCTCAACCTCCCTTTTCCACCTCCTCCCTCAATAATTTCAGTTACCTACTGCTCACAATTTTTCTATCTTTCCCACTCAAAATCTGTTCTCAGAAAAGGTTTAAATAAGCTCATTCACTTCAATATAGAAATAACTTATAAGACTCAAAACAACAATTTCCCCAGGGGTATTTGCATTTTAGGCAGATCCCACAGCTTTCTGAAATGAAATAAGACTCTCCAATTACGCAGTGCCAAGCACTGATGGGGTAGAGAAGTCCTGGAGTCTCTGAAACTGTACCGTCCCCTTGGTGACTTTCTTTACATATTCCTACATCTTACCCTGCACTCTATATTTAAGGAACAAACTATTTAAATAAGGAAACATGCCATCAGGCTTTTCTGTGAGGGGATGAAGAAGAAAATAAATGGAAAAGATGGGGGAAGTGAAGAGACCACAGAAGGTGTGGAAAATCCACACCAGAAGTCTTGGAGAAGTAAGTTACCAAGTGATGAAGAAAAAGGAGAGGAATACAGGGAAATTAGTTGAAAATGGTTTCAACCCCCCATGAGCTTGCAGTATGCCAGAAGATATTCTAGTGATATTATTTCAGTATATATCTGCTTATCCAGAATGGCTGTGGATGAGGCACTCTGGTGATTCCATTCTCATTTTCTGCTTGGATTGGAGTTAGCATTTACTTTCTAAGAGGGAATGAAGCCATGCTTGTCTTAGTCACCATTATAACCCCAGCACTTAGCATAAGGCCTGGCATACAGTAGGTACTCAATAATTATCTGTTAAAGAAATGAGTGAATGATTTAGCTGCTGTCAAAAACTTGTACACAATAAAAGTATCTTGAAAGAAATAGTTTTCTTTCATTATTGTTCTTATATCTTTCGGGATGTTTTTCAGGCTTTCGAAGGGTTTCAATCCCACTATTAAAATGATTATTATTGTAAATGTACAGGCCAGAGATTTAGAAAATTGAACTAAATCAATATTATGCCAGGTATAGGCTGAGGCATTAACATTAAACTTCCAGACTACAGAGTCTATAAGACTTCTGCATATAATTGACAGTTGTCTGGTATTGCTACGTGAGAGAGATACCGAATTTAACCTCAGGCACATCCCACTCTTGGCCCTAGGGATCTTCACTTTTCCAGTTGATTTATAAAATGCAAGGCATGCAGTGGCATAGGGATACTATTCAAATATACACATGGGGATACTATTCAAATATACAGACAAACAAAGAGAGCAACTTTTTTTTTTTGTACACTTGGCACGTGCTGAACAGTACTAGGCTCTTATGGATACACGGTGAGAAAGAAAAAGTCCCTGCTTTTAAGGGTCTCAAAGTTAAGACACTCTTAGGACCTCCTAAGTTCAGAAAAGAAAGATTACATCTTCTGTTCTTCTGCTGTATATCTATGAAATTAGACACTTG
This sequence comes from Homo sapiens, assembly GCF_000001405.40. NCBI lineage: Eukaryota > Metazoa > Chordata > Mammalia > Primates > Hominidae > Homo > Homo sapiens. The sequence continues at coordinate 232,851,743 of NC_000001.11, read as the reverse complement.
GCCTGGATTAAATTGTAAGGTCACTTCTAATTATGGCACATACAAATAAATCTTTGGGAGTGATGTAAGTAGGAACGGCCAAATAAGAACATCTGAAAATCTGTTCCTCTATCGAAGAAATAAGGACTGTAGGAAAAAAATCAAATAATCTTTTTCAGAACTTTGGAAATAATCAAAGGCTTGCAAAAATCTGAGGAGAATTTATTCGAGAAAAACAGTTACATCTTAGTAAAAACAACAACCTTTGGGGTGGTGTAACTTGCTCAATTCTCAGAACCCTCTCCCCAGCCCTCTATCCATAAAAACCAACAAATGGTCAATCAAGATATTCATGAAAACCAGAAGACCAGTAGTCACTGGAGAGGGAACAATGGGCTTCTATCTCAAGAAGAAATAGGAAATCTAAATAGATCTAGAACAAGTAAAGATGGTGAGTTATCAGCAAAAAATACTTTCCAAAAAAAGAAAAGCCCAATTTCAGATGGCTTCACTGGTAAATTTTAAAAATGTTTAGAATAGACGTAGCAACAATCTTTCATAAACGCTTCCAAAATTTACAAAAGCAGGGAGGTCTTTCTGAGTCATTCTCTGAAGGAAGAAGTATCCTGATAACAAAGCTAATAAAGCCATCACAAGAAAACTACAAACCGATACCTTTTATGAATATAGAGGCAAAAATTAGCCACAAAATATAAGTAAACCAAAGCTAACAACATATGAAGATTATACAAATAATTACACACCCTAACCAAATACAATTTATCCAAGACAGGCAAGGCTGGTTTGATATACAAAGATTAGTTAATATAATGCACCACATTAATATAATAAAATAATAACTACATGATCATCTCCATAGAAACAGAAATATTTTTTGACAAAATACAATGGCTTATAATAATAAAAATACCGAAAAACTAGGTATAAAAGACAACTTCCTCAATGTGATAGAAGG